>NC_000001.11:243153818-243305333 GCF_000001405.40 Homo sapiens
AATCTTCCAGTATAATTTTTAGGTTGAATGTATTTCATTTGGTTATCTGTAAAGCTGGTATTGTAGCTCTGTTTACCCTAATATTCATAAAAACCTGCATCATGTCTTACATTCCTACTCGATGGAAGTCAATATCTGTTTTCATAACAGAGAAACTGAGGCAGGAGCTACCAAAGCATATGCATCAGGGATACCTGAAAGAAACCTTCCCTCATCAAACTGAAGACCAAATATGCCATATCTCGCTTATACACTTCATATTCTAAATGGAGCTTGCTTTTGTGCTTTAAATTTAAATGCAGGTAAACAGTTACTATGTACAGATTAACAAAGTGCTGATCAAGTGAAATAGTCCTAAATTCTAAACAGAAAGAGTATGCTAAAGCATAAAACATTTTTGTAATAAATTAAAAATCACTATTATCTTTTTCAAATAAAAGTGTCTTTATCTATTACTCTTCAAATATTGCTCTCAGCACAGGAGTCTTTTAGGTGACAGTAGTTCATTTAAATAAATAAAATTATTTCTCATATTCTACTTAGTTTGTGATTCATAGCCATTTGAAAATACATTTTCTCACCCTAAGCAAACTTATCACTGCTCTATAGAAACATTAAATATCCACATTTCCTTCCATATTTTGTATCTTTCCTTCCTTCCACCACCCTCCTTTTTTCTCCACATAAAACAAACAAAAAAACCACTTCTCTGGCTTTGAGATATATAGCTAGAAAGTATAACTTGAAAAATTAAAATCCCAAAGGCAAGTTTTATTAGCATAGTGCTACTGACAAACTAGAGGGATAAGGCATGAACATCACTGTAGGTTAAATAGCCTGTTCTTAAAGTCCTGCCATAGATAATAAAAAGTACACATTGATAATAGTAACACTATGCACATAGCAAAATGGAACCAAGTGAAAATACAGTGTATAGCCCTTATTCCCTCTTCTCTTTGTATTACAACTGTTTTTTTATTTGGGGGTAGGGAAGTGTATTTGGCTCAGAAGAAGGTTTTTAGTCTTTCTAGTTTGGGGTAGAGGGAGCTTGAGAGAGGAGGCCTCCTGCCAGGAGGCATCTAGACATACAGGCACCACTGGATCTTGTGTAGCTGGACATCTTTTTCAAGGGAAGGGGAAAAATGATGAGACAAGAGTAAGACCTGTTGTTGCTAGCAGCGCCTGGAAGTACAAAAAAATGTGTCAAGATGCTCTCACTACAAGCATTTTGTTGGCCCATAATGATCCATGGATCCCAAAGTACATATATGCCTTTCCTCTAACTAGAACAACTGGCTTAAAATGCTTCATTAATTACTCTCCTAAAAAGCTATTTGTATGATAAAGCAAAAATGTTTTAAGCAGCACGATGAGATTAGAAAGGCATGTTCTCTCCAAGAATAAAAGCGATGACAAGTGAATAGTCTTTAAAAATAAAAAACTAAACATTACATCAAACCAATGAGCCAGAAAAAACACAATTCACAGAAGTCAATGAAATAAAGAACAAAAAAGATGAACATTAACATAGAGTAAAAGTTTCTTGTTTTTTAAAAGCATCTATGAAATATTATGTATAAACTCTTTAATAATGTCCTCAAGTATACAACTTGAAGATTAAGGTCTTAAAGACAGAAGTAAGCTTAGTATGTATACAGTGAAAATGTTTAGGTAACATATGGTATACTGCAGTAAAATCTAACATCTCACAAACTTTAAACAAAAAATCCTTATATTTTAACTACTATAGTATCTGCTTGAGTATAATCTCTCTTCAAAGTTCAGCCATAGTAAGTTATTAATTTCCATAAGTTATTAATTAAAAATCATATCTGCAGCATAAATTTTTTTTGTACATAATCTAAAGGTTACTATAAACAGATTTAATCTTCAAAATAGTCATATTTTGTTTTACTTACTAAACGGTTGAACTGCCCATACTTAATGAGCTCATAAAGTATGAGTGAAAATCTGCTTACCCTAATTCTCTCCAGAGAGCAGTAGCCACATCTCTAAAAGGTATACTATTACATCTTTGGAAGTTTAAAGGAAAGTAATCCATAAATTGCCTGCAGTTCTTAATTATGTAGATCTGATACTGCCTACCTTTCAAAGTTTCACTTACTTATCACCATCTTTAAAAGAAATTCTTAAAAAGGGAGGGGGGGAGACAGAAAAGGTCAAAATAAATTAATTCTACAATATGTTAGTGGTATAGGCATAGAAAAAAAAGAAAAAAAGCTGGATAGAGAGTAATACTACTGACTAAACGGAGTTCACAGTTATCTGTGGATTTCAGTTCTTAGACTATTAGTAAAAATCAAGTACAAGCTAAACTTTGTTACCAAGTTGTAATGTTCATAGAAATTTTGAATTCTTAAAGATAAGTCCTGAAAACCAACCTGGCTATCTCTTCTCGATGAGCAGTCCAATCTCGGATGTAGTCTTCCTGCTCTTTAATCCGGTGTTTGAATGAAGAACTAGTAGGCATTGCTGATCCAGCGCTCTGCAAGCGAGTGGTTTTCAGGGCTGGAGAAGTACGTAGACGGGTATGTTTAGGGGAATTACGGTTTGATCCAAATTCATCTTCTGAGGTGGAAGCATAATCAGTAGGAAAGCGCCTCCATCTTGAATTTACTAAATTAGTTTAATTATTAAAAAAAGAATTATTATGTTATCATTTAAAGGAGGTAAAATAAAAGTCATGACTTCAAAACACCATGAGAGCGCACACACGGCACAATTTTCAATAACTGACGTACACATACCTCACAAAAACCATAAGTCTACTACTCCTTAGAGATAGAAACATTACACTTCGGTGAATTAAAAACAATGAAGAATCAAAAACAATTGGAAGACCATGTTTTCCATAGTGTGGTGAGTAAACATTCAGATGAAAAATTTCGCTAATGATAAACAACTAAGCAAGCTCTATCCATCGATGTTTAACTGGAGTACTTTTCAATTGCAAATATTTCTTACTTGAGTGAAAATATGAATTTTTCAAAAAAAAAAAGACAGTAACAACATCAACGACAACAAAAATAAAAACAAGGGAAAAGATTTCCTCATGCCACATGGACTTTCAACATGGAGATGGTAAAAACTCTCTTTTCCCAACATACAGATGTGCATAATTCCGGCTGTGGAAATTATGCCTTTATGGCAGAAAAAAAAACATTACCTCTGTCATTCAACATCCTGTTACGCTATGGTTGGAAAAAATCTTTTTACGTGGTAAAAAAACACAACAAAGCATCTTCAGTACAACTCTCTGCTGCTTTGACACTGAAAGCATATGGTGAAAATAGACAATGGCATAAAATCTACAAAAAGCAAAACTGTACAAGCTTTTGTCACAACCATTGACACTGAAGGCACAGGAGATACTGTGAAGAGTCACATTAAAGAAAGTGGCAATCACTTTCTTATTTACAGTTAGTAAAGACATTAAAAAATGGTATTGCTCACACATTTAAAAAATCAGAAGACAAGGCAGACACTTTACTACTGTTAATATGAGAATCAAACATACAAATAATTTGTGAAGCATAAATAGAGGTAAAAAGAGAGATAATGGCTAATTCCTGGTAAACCTAACAAGGGCAGGAACCATGTCTGTTTAATCCAATAATGTATACCTAGCACTTAGCTGAGTGTTGGCTAGCAAATGTTTAACAAATATTTTTGAAAAAAATGTAAGAATTCCTGGATGTAAACATTTACTTTTCCGAAACCTAGTGAAAAGCATTAAATGTTATTGGTGTTTAAAGTGAAAAAACCTTAGCATCTTCTTCCTTTTTAATAGAAACTGACCCTAAGCTGCACAGAATCCAGAAATTCCTCCACTCTAATTTTATGCCTTTTATGTCTTTTCCTCCAAAAACTACATTTTCAGCTGGGGATCTCTAAGGCTGAGGTTGCTCTCAGATAAAACTGGCATATATTGCCACCAGAACTGGCTTAAGAAACAGAGAACTCTACAACGAGGAATATGCCATAAATTAGAGCCTATCGATTCGTCCTTATTCACACCCCTATTTACAGATCCTGATGTTTGGAACTAGATTCATTCATAGGTATGACAGAATGAACATATGCAGAAAGTTCATGGCTCTCTGTAAAAGTGTATGCAAATGCATATACTAGGTAATTAGTCATAGACCTTTTTTGAGGAGCTTAAATATAATTTCTGATTTTAACACTGTAAGATAATTTATTAACATAGATAATACTTTTACCATGGTGATAATGTGCTCATTTCTAGATAAAAAAACTTCTGTGAGTTGAAGTGATCCTGAGACTTGAAACCAATTTTAGGAAAAGTTTAGAACAAGAGTAAAGAGGTTTAGAAAAAAATTAAGAAATACGGCAGGCAAAATCAGAAATAGTGTAAACAAATTTGTACGTTTCAAAAAAACATTTCATTAAATGCTAAATGTGTGTTTCTTGTGCTATCTTACAATAGTGTTCATAAATAAGAAAAAAATCATTTGTTACATCAAATGTTCTGATTTTTGATGAGGCAACTATGGTCACTATACATATGATTGGAAACTAGAGAGAAAAGAAAAGCAATTAACAAAGAGCTTTAATAACTGCAGAACATATGAAAACGTAAGTATGATAAAACTCAGACAGTTAATTTTGAGGTAACTTAGAAAGAATGGCATCGATGGCTGATACATTTCGTGGCAGACTACATGAAAGCAGAAGGAGAAATTGAGTACCAAGTGCTATTAATATACGTTAAATGTCAGGTGATCACATATAAGTAGAGCCATGCTAGAATCAACTTTTAATAGTCTGAGCTTAGGATCAAAATGCAATTACATTTTGAGGAAAAAAGTACGAGAAAAACTTCCTTTTCACAAACTTTCCATCTCTTTTCATAGGCTGGTCTACCTAGAAGTCAGTAAGAATAGTAAAGCTACTAATAATATCTTTTAAAAGCAATCAGGGGCCGGGCACAGTGGCTAACTAACGCCTGTAATCCCAGCACTTTGGGAGGCTGAGGTGGGAGGATCACAAGGTCAAGAGATCGGGACCCTCCTGGCCAACATGGTGAAACCCCATCTCTACTAAAAATACAAAAATTAGCCAGGCGTGGTAGGGCGCGCCTGTAATCCCAGCTACTCGGGAGGCTAAGAGAGGAGAATTACGTGAACCCTGGAGTCGGAGGGTGCAGTGAGCTGAGATCGCACCACTGCACTGTGGCCTGGTGACAGAGCCAGACTCCATCTCAAAAACAAAAACAAAACAAAAAGAAAAAAATCAAACGAATACAGCATATTTTAAAAAGTAAAAGGTAACATCTTTAGGTATGTTCTTTAAAATTGAGGAGGAAACTGGATAATCAGCATACAGCAGAGAAATAAAAATGTGATTAAAAATCATTAAGTAATTAAGAGCTCCCTTTGCCAGTGGAAAACATATCACACATGGGATGCTATGAAGAAAAGCTCCAGTTAACTCTGGACACAGTCTGCGTAACGACAAAGAGCAGAGCTGAGACTGAGTGAAATGATGGCTACTGGTGGAGAAGGGACTGGGAAAGGGAGTTCAATGCTAGGCCCTCTAACCTGTTATTTCTCAAAGAATTTATTTCAAAACTTTCTTTCTTAACATTTGCTTCCAAACTATAGCAGCTACCTAACCTTTTTTCTTCTAAAGAAAATTCCCTATCACCTGCTAATTAACACCAAATAAACTTCAAGTTAAAATATTTTAAATTTCCCCCCATCTACTTATTTCATAAAATTTTAGAAGAATGGCCTTTGACATGAGTCTAAATTCTTCCATTTAAAGAGAAGAAACAGGCCCAGAGAGGTCTTACCTTGCTGAAATCAAAGTATAAGCCAGGTCTATGGACTCCCAGAGTTCAAAACGAATTCTCTGTTATTCCAAGTGTTGTATACATTCTACATTTTTGTTTCCGGTTTTGTGTGTGTGTGTGTGTGTGTGTGTGTGTGTGTGTGTGTTTTTGAGATGGAGTCTCCCTCTGTCACCCAGGCTGGAGGGCAATGGCGCCATCTTGGCTCACTGCAATCTCCACCTCCCAGGTTCAAGCAATTCTCCTGCCTCAGCCTCCAGAGTAGCTGGAATTACAGGCACCTGCCACCATGTCTGGCTAATTTTTGTAGTTTTAGTAGAGACGGAGTTTCACCATGTTGGCCAGGCTGATCTCGAACTCCTGACATCAGGTAAACCATCTGCCTCAGCCTCCCAAAGTCCTAGGATTATAGTCATGAGACGCTGTGCCCAGCCAAGTTGTTTTAAAAAGACATCCTAAATTTCTCATGTAATGATAGTTTTTCTGATATCTACCTGTGTTGAAGAAAAAATTTATTTCTTTCTCTTGAATTTTATTCAGCTTAAGTAACAATTTATAAAAATAAATTTGATTTTCTTAATATATTATTAGGCTCATTTGATGGGTTGATATTACTAAGGCATTGGAAGGTGTCTGAAATGCCTATCTCTAAGAGACTTATTCGTTAGTAAAGGCCTAGACAGCATATATATTAAAATGAAAGTTCCAAGATGGGCTTGATTAAGCTTGTAGCTAGAGCTACAGCATTCATTACAAAATTTATTTTTTAATTATAAAATAGGCAACATTCCCTCTTGTGTTGTAGTACTAAACTACTATATTCACTACAAAAACATACTATCATTTATGATGTCTAGAGACTTAAAAAGGAAAAAAAGAGTTGTTAGTATCATATTTCTGTGAATGTTCCAATTTCTTTGTTGGCATTAAAACATACAACTATAGATTTTGCAAACACGCTTCAGAAAACACACATTGCATCTTCATACAATATCAGAATATTTTAGTGGAAAATTACCACAAACATGTTTTGAATGTATATTTATGAGCATTCAGCAATAAGATCAGCTGGGGAGAAAAACTGCTGACAATGCTCTGTTTTGTCCTTTGACCTGGAGAAAGAGTTAACTCAAGCCATGCATGTCTAACATTTAATTTCTACTGCCTATAAATTTTGAAGATTAGAATTAAAAAGGGACTGCAAACAGTCTCAAAAAATTCTAAGGATATTAACATAATGTTTTTATTTTCTAAAATGTGCACTTAAAACATAATGAAAACCAAGTGCTTTATTTTGATAATTCAAGGTCTTTAAATTTAAATATATCTTGCCAAAATAAATCTGGATATTTCAGTTACAACTTGATATCAAGAATCACTGAAGGAGACTGGGCGCAGTGGCTCATGCCTGTAATGCCAGCACTCTGGGAGGCTGACACGGGAGGACCGACCAGCCTGCCCAATATGGTGAAGCCTCTCCTCTACTAAAAATACAAAAATTAGGCGGGCATGGTGGCACACGCCTGTAATCCCAGCTACTTGGGAGGCTGAGGCAGGAGAATCACTTGAATCCAGGAGGCAGAGGTTGCAGTAAGCCGAGATTGTGCCATTACACTCCAGCCTGGGCAACAAGAGCAAGAGTCCGTCTCAAAAAAAAAAAAAAGAAGCACTGAAAGAATGTTTTGGGGAAAAAAAAACTAGTTAAACTCCTAGAAGCAAATTGCAAATTACATCAGAGAAACATACAGAACTCTTCTCTTCATATTGCTAAATCTGAGATTTCCAATCTTCTATTTTTATCACATACATTTCTTTAAAAAAAACTTTTTTTTAATGGAGACAGGGTCTCACTTGTCCAAGGCTGGAATGCAGTAGTGTGATCACAGCTCACTGCAGCCTTGAACTCCTGGGCTCAAGTAATCCTCTAACTTTGGCCTCCCCTAAAATACTGGGATTACAGGCATGAAACACTGTGCTGGCCTAAAAATATTTTAGAGACATCATCTAAAATATGGAATTGGAAACATTATGGAATTATTTTTACATATCCAATTGGGACAATATCACAAGTGCTAGGTTCAGATTATTTCCAAGGTCTTTAAAGTTTATACTGTGCACAGCAACACTGATCGGCATGATTTAACATTCTTTTAAATCATGTTTCAAAAGTTAAAATTTTGCTTTTCTTTTTCCATTCAAAATATTATAATTATCTTAAAAAGAAATGTTATAATATCAAAGGCACCAAATTAGCAAAATCAAACAGGTAGGTTTGTTTGTTTGACCACCTTTTCCATACAGCTATTATAGTATGTTCTCACTGAAGGAAAGATCCTGGCCACTGTCCTAGATAAGGTCTAATACTATAAGTGGGTATCTTGAGAGAATCTGAATATACAATCCTAGATTACAATATGGCTTTACACTCATAAGGTGGAATAGAGAATATAAACTGGGTAAAACATCAGAACTGCAAAGATTTTAGTAAACAATACCAAAACCTTTATATTGTATATTGACCTTGCATATACTCCTGATAATAATCCAGTAGATTCTAGCTGTCTTCTGGAAGCTTGCATACAAGTAAACACTGAAACTATTTCTTAGAGCTAGAATAGATACGGTAGAAAAACAGGCTGGGGATTAAAAGTCTTTGATTCTTATTCTGCCCCTGCCACTGCCATGTGCCCAGGGCAGGTTATTTCCTCTCTTGGCCTTGGTTCCCTTAAGAGAATAACCCTTCTAACTTTTAAATTCCATGATTCTAATTATTTAATATACTGCTAGTAAGTATGAAAAGACTAAAATCATATACATCAATGTGTCCTAGGGAATTTCATACACAATT
This sequence comes from Homo sapiens, assembly GCF_000001405.40. Lineage (NCBI taxonomy): Eukaryota > Metazoa > Chordata > Mammalia > Primates > Hominidae > Homo > Homo sapiens. The sequence goes on from NC_000001.11 coordinate 243,162,503, forward strand.
CAAGGTTATTTTTGGACACAGAAAACTGAGTATTTATCAAGTTCTGTATTCAAAGAAGCAGAAAATGAAATCTGTCTTTATATATAGCATCTTACAGTTGTTTCTTAGACTTGCTGAAGTAATCATATTTAGCTTGCATCTCAAGCCTTATCCTAAATATCGAGGAATAAAACCACATCATGTGTTAAGAGGTACTCCAAGCTATCTGGTAACATAGAAATTATGTTAAGACAGGAAAATACATACATATCTTAATGGAGATGAGGTGATAAAACAAGGAGTACAGCAGAAGAAATTTCATCAGGAAATGCAGCACAGATGAAATGTGAATTGAAGTAGAGCCATAACCAAAAACAGAATGAAAATAAACCAAAATGTAGTAGTTAGTTTTAAAATATTTGGCAATAAATTTGTGAACCACCAACCAAAGCTTCAAGTGTGGAAATGAGGACTGGGGTAATAAGGAAAATGTTGTCTATTTTTTTTGGAATCATGATTATATGCTATCTGGCTTCACCCTACGTCCATTTCTACCATAGACAGTGACCATCATTACCAAACCCACTGACCAGCAAAGAGATACAGGTGAATGGAGTGGAGGAAAGCAGCAGTGAAAAGAGGAAGAAAAGTGAAAAAAGTATCATATGCAAAGTACTGTTCCTTTAGGGTCTTGTAGGAGATGGTGTGGTAGATGTAAACCAATCAAAAATAAAAAGATGAAATTTCATATCAACTTCCCCTCCACTCTTAACTCAAGACTTAGGGCTTACTTAGATGTCTGCCTACTGAAAATAATCACACATCTTCATGTCCGTTGTAACAGCTGGCCTCCCACACTGGCCTTTGCAGCCACGTCCACATATGAGGCTCATTATGAAGTAATGAGAACATGCATATAGGACACAAACAAATATCCACCTCATTACTCTTTGGTCACACATGTATCTCAATGGCCTCAGCTCTGAATACAAAGCACATAAGCAAACAAATATAACAGCATCAGTTAAATTCTGGTGGAAAGTAAGTAGTTTTTGTAGTTATTATATTCAATTACACCTAATTACTAGAGTTAAATGATATAACAGCACTTTGTGAGATAATGCTCATAACCAGTTAAATTTCTACAGCCCAGTTTGGCCAATATACGCTGAGTGATTCCCCATGAATCCATCTTCTTCCACTGAAATAAATTAAGGTTAGTTTTCACCTGCTCCAACTATAAACAGATTTAACTTTAAAAAGTATAGGTAAAGTATGTGAGACATTTCAAAATGGGTAGGGAAAAAAAAGAAAACATTGATTATTTCATTTAACTCTGAAAGGAGTAATAAAGCATATACTGCTTTTCTTCAAGTTCTTAAGGGCTTTGAATTATGTGAGGATATTTAAAGGTTAAACACATGCTTTTAGAAGCACAATGTTAATTCCTATACTTTAAACCAGATACTTCCAGATAATTTAATTTTGACACACACATCCAAATATAGCACCAACTGGAAAATTAAAACTCCTAAATCAGCTCAATGAATTCCTAGTTTTGAAATCACTATTTTGCGCCAGGACTCTAATTGGAAGTATGTATAACTTCTGATTTTCCATTTACTATGCTAAATAAAACTGTTTTATAGACCCCCCACCGCCGCTGCCCCGTATATCATAACTTTTGTTTTGAATGAGTATCTTGGGAAGACAACTAGAACCTTACTTTTTTTTTTAAAAAAAAAAAGGAGCCCCCAAATATACAACATGCTAATGCTATTAGAAATCTGGATCCAATTTACCTGAAGCAGAGCCATGAGCTGAGGTCATACTTTTGACCTTGGAGTCTGAGAGTCGAGAGATACTGTTAGCTCTAATTCTAGGAGAAAATTTATCTGATGGTACTAGTCTGGCTCCACTTCTAATGATGGCTTCTGCGGTCCTCGAAGAGGCACTACTTCTAGAAATTGTTGCTTCAGAGTCACTACGAGCTGACAGTGAGCCAAGTCGTGTTCTACGAGGCTGAGCCAATAAATCAATCCGAGAGATGTTACGCCTTCCTGTGGGAGGTTTTGATGTAGAACTTGTTGTGGATACTTCAGAAGCAACAGATGCTTTGTCAGCATCAGCAAGTTCACTGTCTGAAGCTTCACCAAGTCGTGCTCTGCGCAAGAGGGAAGTCCTGGTAGGTCGTGGCCTTGGAAGGGTGGTTGATTTACTAGATGAACCAGATACCACCGGAGAAGTCTTAGATTTCGTTACTTTACTTCCTTCCAGTTTGGAATGTACATGCTCATCAGCTGAGGTAAGTGGAGTCCGTCCATGAGGTTTACAAGAGTAAGTTTCTTGATCAGATGACATAATATCAGAGATGGCAGAATGAGGTACACTAGAGGTTTGGTCATCATCTGTTAAGTCTACTGAGGGCTGTCTTATTCTCCCACTGGACTGAACAAATTTACGACCATCTGCTCTTGAACCCACATCTGTGGAACGACTTTTTGTTTTCTTTTCCATTTTTTCCCTAGCACCTGAAGATGATGATTTTGTAACATCTTTGGAAGGAGAACCTGTGGAACACCTATCTTTATAGAGGCTAGTGAAACTCTTTCGCTTTTGGGTTGACTTTCTTTCAGTTTCTCCAGTAACCAGACTGATTGTACTAGCTGTATCTACATCAGATTCTGGTGAAATAGAATTGTCTCTATTATAACTGGGAGTATCTGGTCCTTCATCAGTTTTATTATCTTCACGTAGTTTAGCTTCTAGAAAAGCCATTACTGCTTCTGTGTCTTTTAGAATAAGGGTTGTGTCCATACTAGAATCAGGATCCAAAGACTCACTTCTTTCTCGTATTCTACTTGCAGATGTTAATGCTAAAGAAGAAGGAGTAGAGGAAGTCTGTTTATTTATATGGGGAATAAGTTCTATGGGTATGTTTGGGCTGGGTTTTTCTATAGTGAAGCTCCCTTGTCGCACTAATGACTTGGAGGATTCCTTCTTGTCTCCTCCCTTTGGAGTCTGACTTTTCAGAATTTCCTCAGCTTTTCTTCTCTTGCTCTCACTTTGTGCCACTCTGTCTCCTTTGCTTGTAGAATGTCCTGAATTTTTTTCTGGAGGTTGTGATTCTTGTTTAAAAGTTTCCTCCCTACATTTATCTGTCTGACCTGAAACATTTTTGGAAGACAATTTAGTAGGTGTCCACTGAGCCTCCTCCCTTTGTTCTTGTTGTTGAAGTTTTGCTAATGTTTGCTTTACCAAAGAAGTTTCCTTATCAGTTTCACTTTTCTCTTTTCCAGGAGCAGAGCTGCCTAAGTGAAGTAGGGTTTTATTATCTCCACCAGTTTTGAGAGTCTCTCCATTTACTGCCCTGTTCATTTTACTCAAGGGTCTGTCAGCATCTTGTTTATCTTTCTGGTATACCTGTGTAGGTGTTTCTTTCTCCTGAAGTTCTGTGTCTTGTTTTTCTCCTATCTCTGACCTCTGTGTTACAACCTTTGCTCTGTGGCTCTCAAGAGACTTTTCTTCATTTGGAAGCTGGGGAAGAGTTCGTCTCCTTCTCTCTCCCTGGCTAGCCAAGGAAGTTGCAGAGCCAGTACTTCTCACTGTCATGCCAGACTCACTGATCTCTGTCTCTATGAAATAAAAACCACAAAGAAGGAATTGATTAAGACAAATAAAATAAAAATAAAAGGAGCATCATACAGTTGTCTGTCAGTATCCATGAAGACTGGTTCCAGGCCCCTTATTCCCCCAGGATACCAAATCCCAAGGATGCTTGAGTACCTTATATAAAGTGGTATAATATTTGTATATAACCTACTCACACCCTCCCATATACTTTAAATCATGTCTAGATTACTTATAATACCTAATACAATGTAAAAGCTATGTAAATAGTTGTTATACTGTATTGCTTAGTGAATAAGTACAAAAAAATAAAGACTACACACGTTCAGTGGGGACGCAATCATTTCTTTTTCCCCTCTCAAATATTTTCAATCCTCAGTTGAATTCACAGATGCAAAACCCACTAATACAAAACCTATGGCTAGAGAGGGCCAGCTATATTACATTACATTTTGAGATGTAAGTTAAAAATGACTTAAGTATACAAAACAAACGAGCCAGCATTGTGACGAAGTAGTTTAAGTACAATTTCAAGCTGCACAAATAAGCAATTCCTAGAGAAGTCAGGAAGGCCAATTGTATGAGATGAAAATTAGAGTCATCTGATCATTTTTCTCCTTTCATATATTTAATTTTCTATTTATGAATTGACAAAAATTATATATATTTGTGGTGTATAACATGATGTTTTGATATATGTATACCATTATGGAATGGCTAAGTCAAGCTAATTAATATATCCATTACCTCACGTACTTATCTTTTTTGTGGTGAGAACATTTAAGATCTACTTTCAGCTATTTCAAATACCCAAGGCATTGTTATTAACTATAGTCATAATGGTATAAAAGGGTCATCTGATCTTAAACCTAAATATATTGCTCTTCTTTCCTCTTAATGTGTTTTATAGAAGGGAAGTTCACTGTGTTCATTCTCACTTTTGTAACTTTCCATCCTTGAGGTTTGCTCAAAAAACCAGAATCTATTGTAGATTTATACAGAGAATGTCAAATAAACATTGTTTATTTTCTATATTTTCAACTACATAGTAGAGAAGAACAACATAACTAGTTTTTAAAAAGTATTATCTACTTGAAAGAATGATAATTTTGGATTTCCTAAGTAAAGTGAAAAATGCAGAACTTTTAACAACATTTTAAAAAAATCTATAGCCGATTAAAAGAATTTTAAAAATTGTAAGTATGTAACAGCAGACTTTTCATAGTTAGGACATAGCAAAATTTTATAAATTGAGGAATTTTTAAATTATAGTCTTCTGGTTATTAATGCCACATATGGAAATACAAAATCCCTTTCTTTTTTTTCAAGTAGAAGCCAATGAGAAAATATATATTTTGATTTTTCCACCTGAGAGAATTTGAGAATATTTAAGGATTTTCCTGACTATTAAAAATGGAATGTATTTCTGAGAAAAGGGAAACATCTTTTCAGGGAAATATAAATTAACATATAAAGCTTCCTAATCTTTTAGGGATAAATGGAGAAAAGATACTAGATATAGCTTCTGTGGGTCTTTTTTTTCCTCTTTACAATCCTAAAAGTTTAGTATTTAAATATCATATCAATACAATGGATGTGATGGAGGAAAATCCATACTGAACTGATAGATTTAACTTTAGTCATTAATCATGTTATATCTTGTTTTGTTTCTTCTTTCATATATCTTATCTCCTTAGTGCTAACTGAAGCATCTAGAATGTAATGGCTACTTTACCCTTTTGTATTTTTCCAGTATTTCTCATACTGCCCCCTCCTCATATACATTCAATATGCTTAACAAAAACGTTTTATTATTTAAGTAGATTTATCAGCTTATGTAAATAAGTTCATTTAAATATGATGACATAGAAATGAGATCATGAAAGCTAAGTGGTCTATTATTTTTTATAACAAGGGTAGAACTTTGCTTTTCACAGATAATACTTAATAATTTTATAACGGATTCTTTGGTAAAGTTATCTAGCCTTCTGTCTGGTTTCTTTGTTTCCTAAACACAGTTTATACGAACCAAATGACTCTGTTCCCTCAAAAGAATTTTTGGTCATACTATCAATAACTTCTAGATTCTAATATAAATAAATGACGTAGCTTTTCTAGTACACTGCTATGTAGCTTCCTCAAATACTTCTAATACTTACAAAATTCTTAAAACAGATTTTTGGGGTGCCACAAGCCTGAGACAAAACAAATTTCCATTTTCAACCGGAATGAAATTAAGAAAACAGATAAAAGCCACATACAAAATCTCATTGAGGGTCTTTTTGCTTTTTAACTGTAAGTGAGTATTTATTTTTCAACTTGGATAAGTTTTTTAATTGTTTATTGTAAGTTGACAATTTATATTTGTATATGTTTATGGTGTATAAAATGTTGACCATAAATACAATGTGAAATAATTAAATCAAGCTACTTAGCATATTCATCACCTCAAAGAGTTAACACTTTTTGTGATGAGAACATCTAAAATGTACAATACTATATTATTAACTATATTCACCATGCTGTGCAGCAGACCTCAGGAAAAAAAAAAGCTTCTTCCACCTGTCTAAGTGAGATTTTGTACCTTTTGACCATCATCTCCTCATCCTCCTTTCAGGGTCTTATTGTTAATTAGAAAACTAATGAACAAAAAGTAATAATGAAATCCTTGAAGGTACACAACTTCATTTTGTTTAAAAAGCCTTTATATTTCTGTTCACAGAAATATAAAAGGTAATAAAAGTCATACTACATAGATTTGTAAGATTATTAACTTCTTTTTCACTAAATGTACCACATGAAGTAGGCACTCAATAAATATCTGTTGTATTTATGAATGAAATCGTTTGGACCTGTCTTCAGCTTATTTTTAAATTTTAACTTATATATATATAATATATATGTGCTTCATCTTTCTATGTAATATATACACACACCTATATATGCTTCATCTAAAAATTATTTCCTTATCTTCAGTTAAGTTTATACTTGAATAATAGCTGCATCATTAGTCAAAATCATATCTTAAGATATCAGCATATCAGAAAGAGTAGGAAGAATTTTCATTTAAAAGTAAAGACAAAATTTAAAAACCATTCTTATTTTCAACAGCAGAAATTTACAACTAAAATGAAAAGTGCCTCGGAATGAAATATTAAATCCAAGCTGGTGTCTGTCCACCTGTCCTTAGGAAGTCTCAACTTACGAAGTCCACAAAATTTCTCAAAAAAGAGTTTTATCACTTTGAATTTGTCCCCTGCTTAAAATCCCTCAAAATATACAATATCTAATAAAAATCAGCCTTTTACTTATAAAATGAATTCATTTATCAGCATGAGAATATGTGAATATGTTTATTTAGGTTTAACTTACTTCTTACTATATAGATTTGGCTTGTTTTTTATAATAACAACTGATATATGATTCACAAAAAAGCAGAGAAGAGTAAGAGAAAGAGAGAGAAATGGAGAAAGAGAAGAAAAAAGGGATAAAGAATGAAAGAGAGAAAGAGAATACCATTCTCTAAAGGAAGAGGTGCAGAAAATTCCATTATCCTTTCTTCTTGATCATGCCTTGTATGATTGGCAGCCAAACTAGCCCACTGTGAAACCCAACGTTTGCTTCCAGATGAAGATGTGCCTTCCTAAAGGAGAAAAATAAGAAAACAAAATCATGCAGCCTGGTCATATCTGAGTCTCATGAAAGACAATTTCATTTAGTCACATTAACTTGCCATACAAACCCATAATTAAACCTCACCTTGCTATATTATCATTGATTACATCTTCTCTTATATAAAATAAAAATTCTCTAGAAAATAAAGATCTTCTCTGAAAAAAACTATGTTACTAAAAATGACACCTCTCAATGAAAATCCAAGACAAGCCAAGGCTTCATATGAAAACTGTAATGACAACTAGGGAGTGGAAAGCTACGATGGAAACTTTATTACCAACTAGTCACAACAAATATTTTATTAAGAGTGTCAGATTTGGGCCGGGTGTGGTGGTTGATGCCTGTAATCCCAGTTCTTTGGGAGGCCGAGGCAGGTGGATAATGAGGTCAGGAGATCGAGACCACCCTGGCCAACATGGTGAAACCCTGTCTCTACTAAAAATAAAAAATTAGCTGGGCATGGTGGCATATGACTGTAATCCCAGCTACTTGGGAGGCTGAGGCAGGAGAATTGCTTGAACCCAGGAGGTGGAGGTTGCAGTGAGCTGAGATCGTGCCACTGCACTCCAGTCTGGCAACAGAGCGAGACTTCGTCTCAAAAAGAAAAAAAAAAGTGCCAGATTTAATACATTAATAATGACAAGCTAAACACTGAAGAAGTGAAGACTTCAAATAGATAAATCACTATAAGATTTCAAGAATAGTAGGTAAGAATAGTAAGTACAGGCCAGGTGTGGTTGCTCACGCCTGTAATCCCAGCATTTTGGGAGACCAAGGCGGGTGGATCACCTGAGGTCAGGAGTTCGAGACCAGCCTGGCCAACATGGCGAAACCTCGTCTCTACGAAAAACACAAAAATTAGCCGGGCGTGGTGGCATGCACCTGTAGTCCCAGCTACTTGTGAGGCTGAGGCAGGGGAATCGCGTGAACCCGGGAGGCAGAGGTTGCAGTGAGCCGAGATGGCACCACTGCACTCCAGCCTGGGTGACAGAGGGAGACTCCGTCTCAAAAAAACAGAATAGTAAGTATAGAGAATGACACACATACAGTGAAGCCTCCTAAGGATACCAAAGCCTGCTGCATCCTTAATCCCATCCAAGGTTTTCTGTTACCTGCCCACATTTCTGAGCAGTGAAGGTGGTACCAGAGCCATGTGGACCATGCTAAGAATACCAACAGTATGAGCGTCACTGACACACGCGTATGTAAAACCATTCTGTGAAGAGTGTTCTAAATGTCCTGTTAGGTAATGTTAGGTAATTCCTACAAAGGAACCTACCAGGGCTATAGCTTTTGCTTGGCAGGGGTTGAAGGAATAGAGAAGAAAGAAGAGAGTCTATTTAAATTCACATTTACCAAAACCATTCCTGGGTTACTCAGAATGGCATCATATTGCCTCAAATAATTATCACCTGCTTTCAATAAGTAAATTAAGTATCTCATAAAACAGAAACCAGAATAAAAATTCTCCCAATCACAGGGAAATAATGAGCACTAAAATACAGTAATTGCTTTGACAGTTTTCAGGAAATAGGCCATATAAAGAAACAATTTTAACATTAATAAACAAACAAACATATAGGTCTATTTACCTGTATGTAAGAAACAAATCTTATTTATACTTCATACAAATGTAACATTTTATTTATATTTTCTTTATTTATACCTTGATTTTCTTCTTTTATATTTTTTCTTCTTTTATTTCCTATTTTCTATTAATTTATATTTGTATATTACAAATTAGCTCATTTCCTGAGAGACAATATAGCATGAGTCAGAGAACGAAAGCTTCCATTGAAGGTTAGCTCTTATTATCTGAATAAATAATAATTAATACTTATGCCTTAGATACTTTTTTACATTTCTTTTTGACACATCAATGTGGTATGAAATTCTAATATCATTTCTGATAAAGGTAAAAAACATTTGTTAAGTGCATAAATCTCAGGCAAGTACTATGCTGGATGCTTTATATACTTCATTAAATTCTCTGTAAATATTTTATCAAAAATGCCATTTGTGTAGATGAGAAAACAGAAGATAAGGGAGAAGTGACTGATTCAAAAGCTTTGAGCTAAAAGTGGCAGCTCTGGGTCAGATCTTTCTAGCTCTACTATGCATACTGACTCTGTAATTATCTTAACCAAGCAATCCTTAATTAATTTCATATTATTCTAATTATATCCCGGGCTGTACTGTATTTGCAGTTACTGAGTTATATAAACTGTATCTATCAGGCAGTGCCCTCGTACATGTTTCCTGGTATGATATACAGGAAACATATACTTCTAAGAAAGTATAAGCAGGATATGTTTCTTGTTTTATCTCATAATGCCAATCAGAACCATGAGCATATAGCTCATTAACTGCTTACTGAAACCTAATATTTTCCTCATTGACAAATGAATATTTCTAACACCTAATAAAAATTAAAGTTGAATTACTGCAAAATTGCTTTAGGCTTTCATTAGAAAATAAATTTATAAAAATTTAGTTTTTAGAAGCATTTTACAAGGAGATACATTAATTGCTTAAAATAATGTAATTTACAAATGATAAGAATTCAGGCCAAGTGCGGTGACTCATGCCTGTAATCCTCGCACCATGGGAGGCTGAGGCGGGTGGATCACTTGAGGTCAGGAGTTCGAGACCAGCCTGACCAACATGGTGAAACCATCTCTACTAAAAATATGAAATTAGCCGGGCATGGCGGTGCACGCCTGTAATCACAGCTACTTGGGACGCTGAAGCAGGAGAATCACTTGAACTCAGACGGCAGAGGCTGCAGTGAGCCGAGATCCTGCCATTGCACTCCAGCCTGGGCAACAGAGTGAAACTCTGTCTCAGACAAGAAAAAAAAAAGAATTTATACTTTATGCATTCAAATAGGTACACAGAAGAGATGTATACCTCTGAGTGGTGAAATCCAGATGTAGTCAGTGGTTTTCTTTCTTCCATTACTGCTGCAGCAGAACTGAGAGCCCAATCTTTTATTAGATCTTTATGTTTTTCGTTGATAACAGGCCTATTATAATCCTGATTGTCATCTACTCCAAACACCTAGAGGGAAAAATTATTTTATAAATGAAAACGAAAAGTCTGAACACAAGATTAATATGTGAATAGTATAATTAACTTCAGAGGCAAATAAAAATATTCCAAATTAATTTTAATAGTTAATTTCAAAACTAAGGAAAACTTCTTGAATGACAGTAACAGCTAATTGTGATAGCTAGAAACGAAAGCAGGCAGTCACAGCTTATGTGAAAGTAATTATCCTTTTTTTTTTTTGAGACGGAGTTTCACTCTTGTTGCCCAGGCTGGAGTACAGTGGCGTGATCTCGGCTCACCGCAACCTCCGCCTCCCGGGTTCAAGAGGTTTTCCTGCCTCAGCTTCCCGAGTGGCTGGGATTACAGGCATGCGCAACCATGCCCGGCTAATTTTGTATTTGTAGTAGAGACAGGGTTTTTCCATGTTGGTCAGGCTGGTCTCGAACTCCCGACCTCAGGTGATCTGCCCGCCTCGGCCTCCCAAACTGCTGGGATTACAGGCATGAGCCAACATGCCTGGCCGAAAGTAACTATCCTTTTTTTAACATTTAGCAAATGTCCTGTTCGATTAAAAAAAAATATTCAAGACATATTTTATTTGTTAAAAGATTTAATAGGTCAGGCGTGGTGGCACACACCTGTAATCCCAGCACTTTGGGAGGCCGAGGCGAGCAGATCACTTGAGGTCAGGAGTTCCGGACCAGCCTGGCCAACATGGTGAAACCCCGTTTCTACTAAAAATACAAAAATTAGCTGGGCATGGTGCCATGTGCCTATAGTCCCAGCTACTTGGGAGGCTGAGGCAAGAAAATAGCTTGAACCCAGGAGGCGGAGGTTACAGTGAGCTGAGATCACGCCACTGCATTCCAGCCTGGGCGAAAAAGTGAGACCCTGTTTCAAAAAAAAAAAAAAAAAGATTTAATAATGTTGTTAAACAGTACAACAATGCAAAGAGTTAGAAAAAAGTATCTCTTCAGTTTCTTTTCAGCTTCTTTGCTCTATTATTTTTGTGACACTTGTTGAAAAACCATAAACATGTGGCTGATTTTATCTGTTCCTTCCCTAGCAAATGTTTACCATTTACACATCTGAGTTACATTTAGGCATGAAATTTTCTAAGATGCCATTTTATTGTATAATTGCGACATAGTAGATAGCATAATTCTCAAACTGTATTTGCCTAACAATCCCTTAAAGACCTTTGTTTGAAATGCAGATTCCAGGCCTATTTAAGATTAATTGTTTCAAAAAGCAAGTTGTCAATGTCCAACACTTCTGAAAAGTTCTAAATACAAAGACAAACAATGGCGTGCTTTTCTTTTATGGGCAGGACCTGAGTCTTACTCATTTCCTGGCACATAATAGGCCCTGGATGTCACAGAATAGATTGGAAAAATTTTAGGCATATAAATATTAACATTCTATTCTGCTATTAAATCTCCACTGTGTTCCCAATTTTTATTCTTTATAGTTATTGTTTGTGGCTCTGATTATTACAATCTAGAAAAATATCATGCATTTGAATGAGCAATTTGCAGACAGGATCTTTAGGATATAACCAGAGAGCCTTCATTTTCTATAAGGAGAAGCTACCTCAGGCTAAACTATTTTCTAGACATAAAGTTTTAATGGTCTTATAGTACAGCTATCTGATAAGCTCTAAAGTTCATATTTAGTGAAACAGGTATCAGACTTTCTCATTCACTAAAACTTGAAAATTTTACCACTAGATGGTCTTATTACTTAATATTTAATTCTAACATAACTATAATTGTCAAGAATTATGATTTAATATTCTCTTGAACTCCTCAATATTTAAATTATCTTTGCTTTAAGAGCAAATTATGTATTGTTTATTTTAAATCAAATATGAATTTTAATACATGGAAGCACAATGTACAGAAGGGAAAAAACAAAAACTGCTTCGTTTTGCTTAACATTAGCGTTAAGTTTAACAGCAGTGAAAAAACCAGAGTATAACCTGTGTCCTCTACCTTTAACCCCCACTTGTAAAGAAAGCAAATTATAGCTATTCAAGTTATTTGTGTCCGTCTTTAAAAAAGTTAATCACTCCTAACTCAAGTCACTGAACTCCAATTTTACTGAAGTTTATTTACTTATTTTATAATTACTAACAAAAATCTAACTCAGGTTTGAAAGTTAAAATAACCACATGAGTACTTGCATTTTTGCATCTCTTTGACATGTAATTTAGAAATTATCTTGAGTGATTTTCTGATGAATATTTCATTCTAATCCACACTAAAAACTTGATTTCCTCAAACATCTAAGCACCAGCAGTTTCAAATAAAATATCATGAACCTCTCTAAATCACTTCTGACACCACTTTGAAATGACAACAAAAAACACACGAACTAATCCTGTGAGGAAGGGGAGCTGAAGCCGGACAGAAAATACTTCGATGACGTTCGACAGATTCCTTTTAAAGCATCAGAGACAGCTATACATACATTATTAAGTAACAATTATTTCTTCTCCAAACAAGTGGTAGGGCCTGACCTACTACAGTGTGGGGAAAGAAGCCTTCAAATTTCACATCTGTTTTGATAGCGTTTTGAAAAATTAATGATAGCAATGACTACCAGCCCAGATTGAAATCCATATCTATGCGTTTCTGCCTCTAAGTAGAAACACATCCACCTGTGACAACTTTTATGTGAAAACAAATATATAAAGTTTATACTGTCTATATACTTAAAGTTAGTGTACTTTTCACACTTATAAAAGGTACCTACAGTCTGAAAAAAGAGCTGATAATTGTACAGAACTTGAGAGCTCCTCAAAACCAAGACCAAGTATGCTAGGTTCTCTCACCTTTCATTTTAGATTCTATTCCCAGGTGATTTCACCTAGGAACATGCAAGGCTTCACTTCAATTACCAACTATCTAGACTGTTGCTTACTGTCATCCCACCTGCTGGAAGGCTCAACAGTATTTCTTTTTTGTTTTTTTTTGAGACAGAGTCTCGCTTTGTCGCCCAGGCCGGAGTGCAGTGGCGCGATCTCGGCTCACTGCAAGCTCCGCCTCCCGGGTTCACGCCATTCTCCTGCCTCAGCCTCCCGAGTAGCTGGGACTACAGGCGCCCGCCACTACGCCTGGCTAATTTTTTGTATTTTTAGCAGAGACGGGGTTTCACCGTGTTAGCCAGGATGGTCTCCATCTCCTGACCTCATCATCTGCCTGCCTCAGCCTCCCAAAGTGCTGGGATTACAGGCGTGAGCCACAACGCCCGGCCTCAAAGGTATTTCCAACATAGTATCTCACCTCTAGGCTCATGATTCTCTTCTCTGGTCTGGTCTCAATCCAAATCCCAAACATGAGATAGTACAAAATCTAGGTCTTTCATTCAGCTAGGAACTTCTGTAGGCTAGAAGTCCACAGTGGGGAAGGAGATGAGACACCTAATTTTTATGCTTGCACCCCAAGTTTGCCAGTTTCTAATTCTTCCAGAGTAGGATCAAAGGAAGGCGGAATAGGACAGGAGGTGAAAACTCCTTTGTGAACTTGCACTTGCATGGAGAGCTGTCTGGGCCTGGCAGATGTTTAAAGACAACTCATTCGTACTGGGCGTAGGAAGTGGCTTTCACATATTCTCTCCTACAGTTCCCCCGATCCGAGTAGATACATCTCTGTGGAGTGAGCCACAACCCCTCTGCCATGGCCTTTAGGTCTGGGGTAAGAAGGCAGTACCTCCCTCCCTATCCCACTCCAACAATCATGAAACAATCTTTTCTTCTGAATACATTTGTATATTTGGCATTTCACTTTGGGATTTCAAATCCAAAGCTCAGTGGCTACTGTAAACAATTTTAACAACCTGTTACTGAGGAATGGCACTTACTCTCCACAGGCTACTTGGCTAGCCACTGCAGGGGATTACAAAATCTGTATGACAGTCTTTGCTTTTGAGGAGGTTACGTCTGATAAAGGAGCTTATAAAAAGAAGAGGCTGTCACCTGAAAGAACCATGCAGGAATATTCTGTAATTAAAACCAAATATCCATAAGAACCAAACGATATTTTTAGATTTTAGTTTTAAGTTTAAAGAGACTAAACATTCTCCAGATAACAAACTCGTACAATACAAACCAAACCTATGAAAAGTTTGACTGATTTTTTTCACTAGCATATTATGATCATAGTCATTATTATTGAAAAGCTCAGTCTGTGCAAAGATGCACAGTGTCCAATTCTGAAATCAGAATGGTGAGGATGGGGGATACAGGGTCAACTTTCATGCAGATAAATATCCTACCTATTGAATATTTGCAGAGAGGTCAAAATTTACATTTAGTAACATCAGATACGGGAAGCTTGCTGATTGTGACAGAAAATAGAGACCATTGTGAAAGAAGAGAAGCGCCGTGGGGTAAGATGTAGGCATAAAACTATAGTAATACAATGTAGAGCAAAATGATAATTCAATAGCAATAGTGCTAATTTATTAGTTTAAAAAATATCCAAATCAGTAGGAATTCAGAATTCATATTCCCACAGAAATGAAAAATATAATGGCAGATTAAACATCTAACTTCTACAATCTTATTTTAAAGTAACAACTGAAAAACAGTATTGCATTAGTATATCAATCACATCAAGGTGTCCAAGTAAAAATGTACTCAAGTTTCAACCTCAGATAACCAGAACATCTTCCTCCTCAATGAGCAAAGACTTCTTGGGTAAGGAGAGCAGGGTCTCTGTTGGATCAAATCAATAGTAGAGGTTCCCATGGCCCATGAAAATAATTTGACACTTTAAGAATTAAGAATTATGCAGAATTCTAGCCACTAGTGTCAAGGAACTAAATCAGGATGATTTAAGAGGGGAATTTATTTTTGTAATTGTCTATGAAAATCTAATTTTACTTTTAAAAAGAAAAATCCCTTAAAATTCCATGGAATAAGTTATTGTGAATATTTAACACTGTGATTTTTATCACATATTTGTAATCAACTTTTAAATTTAAAATTCAGACAAAATTATTAGAAGAGCACAGAAAGGGAGTCAGGAGAGACATTTTATAATTTATCCTGGTCCACAAATAAATATATGTGCATGCACATTCACAGCAGTGTTACAACAGCCAAAGGAAGAAAGAACACAATTATCCATCTGTGGATGGATGGATGAATAAAATGTGGTTTATGCACGCAATAAGATATTTATTCAGCCATAAAAAGGAATGGGCAGGGAGTGGTGGCTCGTGCCTGTAATTCCAGCACTTTGGGAGGCCGAAGGCGGGTGGATCACCTGAGGTCAGGAGTTTGAGACCAGCCTGGCCAACATGGCAAAACCCCATCTATACTAAAAATACAAAAATTAACCGGGCGTGGTGGCAAGTGCTTGTAGTCCCAGCTACTAGCGAGGCTGAGACAGGAGAATCGCATAACGTGAGCCGAGATCACGCCACTGCACTCCAGCCTGGGCAACAGAGCGAGACTCTGCCTCAAAAAAAAAAAAAAAAAAAAAAAAAAAGGAGTGAAGTACTGATACAGGTTACAACACATGTGAACCTTGAAAACATTATTCCAAGTGAAAGTAGCCGGTCACAAAAGACCACATATAGTATGATTCCATTTATACAAAATGTCTAGAATAAGCAAATCCATAGAGACAAAAAGTAGATTAGTGGCTGCCAGGAGGCTGGGAGAGGAAGGAATGGGAAGTGACTGCTTAATGATCATGAGATTTGGTTTTGCAGTGATGAAAATGCCCTGAAATTAAGATAGTGCTGATGGTTGTACAACCCTGTGAATGTACTAAAAGCCACTGAATTGTATACTTTAAATGGCTAAAATAGTCAATTTCATATTATATGAATTTTACCTCATATTTTCTTTAAATGGGACTCTATCTTCTTCTTCTTTTTTTTTTTTTGAGATGGGTCTTGCTCTGTCACCCAGGCTGGAGTGCAGTGGCACAATCTTGGCTCACTGCAACCTCCGCCTCCCGGGTTCAAGCGATTCTCCTGCCTCAGCCTCCCGAGTAGCTGGGATTGCAGGCTCATGCCCCATGCCCTGCTGTTTTTTTTGTATTTTTAGTAGAGAGGGGGTTTCACCGTGTTAGCCAGGATGGTGTCAATCTCCTGACCTCGTGATCACCCGCCTTGGCCTCCCAAAGTGCTGGGATTACAGGCGTGAGCCACTGCGCTCAGCCTCTGTCTTCTTCCTTTGCTCTCCTGTCTGGGTGAAAACATGTTCTTAAATCTTTGTCTTCCCTCTTAACCTACCTTGTGTCCTTGATTCTCCCCATTACTTAGAAGTCTTACATCCATAATCTCTTCCCTCCCATCACTTCCTACATCTTTCTCGATTTGCTCTTTCTTTCATATCTTCAAATTATACTTAGATCTCATCTAATTCCTCTAAAATTTAAATGTCCAATTTCTCTCCCTTTTATGGTTCATTCCCTGGTCATGTATCCCCTCTTACAGTCCCTATAAGCTGGAAGTTCATCAATAATCATATTCCCCTTTCCTTGCCAAGCAGATTTTCCAGCTGGAAGCTGTCAGGTAGGTATCGCTAGGAACTCAAAGGTAAGTCTAGTCTATTTATCACAGCATCTCCCCAAAATTTATACATTTCTTCTTCTTCTGAGACTATCTATCTTTGCTGCTTTCATACTTAATATTACAAAGCTAAGTTTATAATATATACAAGGTTTTAAACTATATATTTTAACAAGTTATTTTGGAATCAAGATATAAACTAGTTTCAGCATATAAAAATGCAGAAAAATTTCTTTGTGGGGGCATGGTTGGATTTAATTAATCTATAAATTCATTGAAATAAGTTAGCCAATCTACAACGAATCATACACAAATGCTAACAAATGAAAAAGCAGGTCACAAATTTTTCTTTCTCATTCATTCACATTCAAAAGATATTTATTGAGTGTCTATTACATGCCAGACACTGTTCTAGACACAAGGGATACGATGTGAACAAGACAAATAACAAAATCTTAGAGTGAACAAACAGAAAATAAACCAGACGGAAGTGAGTTCTATAAAGAAAACACAACATGGCAATCTGATGGAGAGATATAAGAAGTGAATGACGCAACTACTTTAAATAGAGTGGTGAGTAAAAGCCACTTCAAAGTGAATTATGAGATGGGTATAGAGTTTCCATTTTTCAAGACAAAAAGTTACAGAGATGGATGGCGGTGATGGTTGTGCAACATTTTAAACGTATTTAATAACACTAAACGCTACATTTAAAAATTGCTAAGACGATAAATTTTCTTATATATATTTTCCACAATAAAAAGATGGAAGGAATAAATAAAATGAATTATGAGAAGCTAGGCATGCCAAAAAGACAAGGAAGAGCTTATTAGATTGAGGGCACAATTTCCTCAAAGAGGAAAATAAATAGAATTTCATACAATAAGAGAGAAAGGAAAATGAGGACAAACCTATTATGTTAGGCGTCTGGCTGAATAAAAGGTGAGGGTTCCCTCGTGAAGCTTTGGAAATTAACACAGCAGGAGAGGGTTTCTTATACCCAGGAAGGAGGCAGCAGAGGTTAAGAAGGGTTGAGGAGAACTAATCAGAGAAACCAAAAGTAAGCTCTCCTGGTAGAAATTAAAAAGAAAAAATTCTCAATACAGAAAAAATTGCTCAGTCAAAAATAAAAATGCTGACTGTCGTCAAAGTCTTCTCCTATTGTCCAAGGCTCTCACTTGATCTCCTACTCCTTGAGTTCCCATGCACATCTAATTCTCTATCTGAGTGGACTTTGGACATCCTGCCTTCTTCTACATAGATTTTGATTCTGGTTTATCATCGTTTCCCTGGCTCTTACTTGGATCTCATCTTAAATCTTGCTGTGACTTTCAGGGTTTGGAATATTTTTACAGGGTCCAGATCCGCAGCACTGACTTTCTTGAGCTGTTTGACTCACTGCTGTAAATGTTCTTCCTCCCATGTTTCTAGTTTTGTTATAGGTCTCCTGGCTCTAGATTCTTCCCTACCAACTGTTGCTTATAGAACCAGCAGTGACCAGGCCCTATGAGGGAAGAAAAGACGCTAGTAAGAGGCTTTGTAGGGGAGATATATTGACACAATGAACAAGAATCAAAACTCAGGACAAGAAAAGTATCTGGCAGAGTTGGTCTATGGTATGAAATTTATGAGGAGAAATATTTCTTTTAAGAGGATAGTTCCTCAAGCCCTCCACAATGATCATTTTTTCTTGTTCCTTTAATGTTTAGCTTTCTGTTCTTACCACAAGTTTCTCCTATTTAGCTTAGGAGGTTAGGAAGTAACCCTGACAAGGTCTTCCTCTTGCCTCAGTGGTTATCTCTTTTGATGGAAGAGTGGAGAGAAGAAACTGGTACTGTGATGGGAAGGTAGTTATCGGAGAGGCCAAGGGAGAGAGGGTTGGGAGAGATAATTACTAGTATGAGAGATAAATGCCTTTAATCTAGGCAGTCAACAGCACTTTCTTATAGTGTATTTCCATGTAAACTTAGATGTAAAACTTAAGAGGTCTTTATCAATATCAGGTATTTGTGTTAACATTTTAAAGGTGAATTTGAGGACATGCATAAAATAAGGTGATCTATTGAGAGAGACAGCCCCAAAATACAAACCCAAATGCTGTAATCTCATAACTTGGCGACAGAAAAAGAGGGTAGGTAGTTCACTATCTTTTAACTACTACCAGCACAGAAAAATAAGGATACAGCAGTTTAGCTTGGTCATCTCTTTAAAGAAATCCTATTTTAATGCTATGCAACTCTTCCCAAGGTAAGATGCAAATACACGGTTTGCTCATCTTCTTTAGCCCAAGAATTACAATGTATTTTGGAGAAAAACTGAAAAGGCATTCTGTGCTCATCATAGTTAACATCAGTGTGTCATGTGATACTGTTGCTTACTGACTTCTCTTTGCTCTGCTTTTTATTCCAAGATGCTACATATTCCTTTGGTTTTCTCTTATTCCTGTTACATATTTTTCAGTTTCCTTTGTTCCCCCTTCTCCTTTGTCCATCAATGTTGGTGTTGCTGAGATTTTCATACTTTATTTGCTCTCACCCTATACATTTTCTCTGATTAATCTCATCTCTTATTTTGTATTCAATTACTGCTATGGTTTGGATGTGGTTTGTCCCTGCCAAAACTCATGTAGAAGTTTAATTGCCAGTGTGACAGTGTTGGGAGGTGAGGCCTAATGGGAGGTGTTTGGGTCAAAAAGGCAGATCTCTCATGAATATATTAATGCTATCTTGTGAGTTCTTGTTCTTATGGGAATGGATTTGTTCCCTTCACAGTAGACTGTTATAAAGTGAGGCAGCCCCTCTTGTTTTGCCTTTTTGCATATGTCCACTTCCCCTCTGACTTTCTCTACCATGTTTTGACCCAGCATGTAGCCCTTAACATAAGCCAGCCATATGTGGAGCTATGCTCTAGAATTTCCCAGCCTGCAGAATTGTGAGCTAAACAAACCTCTTTTCTTGATAAGCTACCCAGTCTCAGATATAGCAACACAAAACATACTAAGACAGCTGCCCTCTATTGTCTAATAATTCCCAGATCTGTATTTTTAGCCCAGGCCTCTTACCTAAGATCTAGTCATTAACTAATTGACTACTGGACATGACAGCAGCTTTTAGATTGCCTTCTGTGCTTCTGGCATTTCCAATGTTCAATCCATACTTCACACTTCTGACAGTGACTCGACCATGTCATTGCCCTACTTAAATGTTTTCAATGATTCCCCACTGCCTTCGGCATTAAAGTCCTCAGTATGATATATAATGAACTTCAATATCGAGTCCAATCTCATCTCTTCAAAAGTAACTGTGGTCCTCTGAACAAGTCATGTGTGCTCCTGTGCTTTCGAATAGGCTGTTCCATATTTCTGGAAAACTCTACCTAGCATGCCTGTTATGGGATTAATTACGTATGTTTCACGACTAGCTCAGCTGGCAATATTTATTGAGGACATTTTATATGCTGGCACTAGGTTCCTACAGTCATGGAGTTTACATTTGTTTGTGTCTCTTTCCAATGGGAGTAGGGAGGCAAATGAATAAACAGTGAACTGGTGAAGCAGTAATAAAGCTTATGATTAAAATGAAACAAGTTGATGACAGTGACTACTTTTTTTTTTTTTTAACTGAATGACTAAAGACTTCTCTGAGGAAGGAATGTCCTCTGAAGACCTGAGATCTCCTCTTGGAAGCTATTGGTAGCTTTCCTCCAACAGCTTTATTTTTAAAGTCTTGGTTTTTGTCTGTGTATATCTATTCCAGTACACAGCCATTTCCTGAGAGAAAGAGCTCAGTCTTTTCATTGTGAATCACCTTCTCGTAGACACAAAGCCTGGCACATAGTTAATGTTGAATTAAAGTTGCTAAATAAATGAATCAATGAAATAGAACACATCTCAAATGATGACGTGAAAAGAAGAGTTAGACCACATGAACGTTTCCAGGACCAAAGAACATTTAAATTCAGACAAACAACAGCTGATGGCCCCAACTTCAATCCCACACACCCAAACCTCAAAATGGAGAAACTGGATGACAACACTCATCCAGGCAACTTGATATGATGCCTGTATCTACTCCTATCCTCCCAAAGTGCTTTTTCTGCCTTCCTTCTGGCTGTTGTTGGTCTTTGTTTTCTTCATACCCACAGGTTACTTCATCTTACTCAGACATGATTACTGCTTTTATGCTTTTGTTTTCCCAGAGCCTGACTTTAATTAGCCCGAATTTGGCTTTAAGCTTTATGTGGATTCAAGCTAATGGAATCTTAGCTCTTTTTCTTTGGTAGTCACAAGATAATGTAGTGAGCTTTGTTCTTCCCAGCAATATGGTCTCAGCTTCATTTTCTGGTTTATACAAACTAAGAATGACTTTGAACTATGTACACAGTCACACACTACCATTACTCCTTTAAATGACTCCTGCTCTAAAGTCTTGGGTTTCTCTATCCACAGT
The DNA here is from genome assembly GCF_000001405.40 of Homo sapiens. Classification (NCBI taxonomy): domain Eukaryota; kingdom Metazoa; phylum Chordata; class Mammalia; order Primates; family Hominidae; genus Homo; species Homo sapiens. The sequence continues at coordinate 243,183,817 of NC_000001.11, forward strand.
GTGACCATATAATTTGCTGTCAAAATGGACTCTGAGAATAAAAAATGATGCTTATGATAATTGTAGGCAACAGGTGTAAAACAGGTTTTGTGGCCACCCTCTCTATCCAGCAGTTTCCTGAAGAGTTTCATCTGCTACAATGACTTCTTTCTTGGCTTTCTGCTGTCCTGGCCAAGCTAGCCCCTCACACTGTCACTTCCATTGTGGTTTTATATTTAACCCTTTCAGTGCTGAAAGAACATTCTGGGATTTGTCAGTACTTTATGTAGAGATTCAAATGTGGAAACTCCTAATAACAGTAATGATAAAGCAACACTTATAAAGCAATATAATAAGATAGGTATTGTGATAAGCCTTTTACATGTTTTATTGAATTCTTTTTATAATCTAGTGATATCGCCTCTGTTTCAGAGATAAAAGAAACTGAGGCTTAAAGAGGTAACTTTACCCAAGGGCACACACAAGCACATGCAAAGTTTATATTTAATCCCAGATCTGTCTGCTTACAAGGGTCCATGTTCTTAAATTGCACTCTCTCTCTCTCTCTATATATATATACATATAAAATCCTTCACTGCAAAATAATCTTTTAATGGGAAAACATCAGCCATTATGATCAGTCATTAAGAAACATCAGATGTTTCTTAAACACTATACTTTTCATATTAACAACTATAATATTGCTCACCTATTTCCCAGACAATGGGTCTCTAAAAGTTTGGAGTTGAGCAGCTCAGTGGTAAACCTGAAGCATGTACTTCACAATAAATGTATGTTTAGAAATTATACGTACTCTCTTACAGTGTAGTAAGAGATTTTATACACTATAGAACACAATCCAAAATAAAAATTAAAAATATGAAAATAAAAGTAAACATTAAGTTCTAATATTTTTCCTGCATCCCAAAGGGTTATCTTATCTTGCCCTCCTCCCTGAAGAGGCCATTCCAGAAACTCATCATCTAAATAAGTGCATCTCAAATGTTAATGTGCACATTAGTCAACTGGAGATCTCATTTCTAATGTAGATTTTGACTTGGTATATATAGGATGGGCCTGAGAAGCTGCATTTCTAACAAGCTTCCAAGTAATATTTATGCTGCTAACCCGTGGAGTGGATTTGAGTAACAAGAATTCAAACAAAAGATTAACGTTTAGCCAAACGGATACTGCTGTTTTGCAAGAGGTAATATGAGGTTGGTGCAAAAGTCACTGCGGTTTTTGCCATTACTTTCAACGGCAACCTTGATAGCTGATTCTAAAGTCAACCTTTCACGACCATTGGCAAAACTGAGAAAAATTGCTTTTTAAACCATGCAACAATCCTTACACACGCTAACCAATAATATCAAAGAATACACTTGAAATGTAGGTAACTATCACGACTGGTCATATACGTGGTTAAACTAGTAAACTAAATCATAAACAACTGATTTTGTTTTCATATACTTCTCTTCTACCACCAATGACAGCAGTGAATAGAAATTAAGAAAACATACGGACAAAGAACAAAGCTAAAATAAGTATTTTCATCTTCCAACATGAAATCAGCAGGTAGGAAATCTGTGGTTAACTATTATTGGCTAATATCTACATTTATGTTAACAGAGTTATAGCAATGTTTGTTGGTTGTTTCTTTTTATTTTTTAAGCAAATGCAAAGCAAGAATGTCCAAAGCATACTATTTTTAAAACCTATCTTTAATTTACACAAATTTAAAAGGTCCAAACCTTTTAAATGTACAGAGCTTTATGTATGAAACTCAGGTAAATTCAGAATATCAGCAAATAAAATCACAAAGCATGTTGGTCTTACTGTTAAGTCTTGCAGTTCCCTAACAAAACCCTAAAATTCACATACCACTGACTGCATGACAACATCTCATGCTGACTCTCCAATAATTTCCACCAGTCAAATACACCACACAACAACTAAGATCACACTCAAATTTCAATTATTTACCTTGTCAATCATTTTTCTTGCTTCCACTTCCTCACTGTTGGGATTCTCTAACTCAATGGTATAAGTACCCTTGTCACTTTGGTCATCATCATTATCCTTTTCAGAAGTAGCAGAAGTTGCTTGATTTTTTAACATTTTATCCATCTCCTGGCTTGGTCTGTGCCCAAGACTCCCTGAACTTCTTAATAATGCAGTTTGTAGGAAGGGTATTGACACCGATGGCTCCTCTGATTTCTGTTTTAACAATTTCCCATGTGGAACACCATGCCCCCCTCTGTGATGCGCAGAGCTAGTCTGTAAAGACAAAGAAACCACTTTGGCATCTGCTGTTGGAGACTTTGCTTTCTCAAGTTTTGTATGTGGTGTTGAATATGTAGTTTCCTGACACAAGATTCCCGCACTTTGAGTAAAAGAATACGACCTTCTTTTTCTGGGATTGTCTTCATCAAAGAATGCAATCATAAAAGCAGTTTGACTTACAACAGCTTGGTCTTGATGCTTTTCAGTAGCCTGGACCTTCTGTAGCTTTTTGTGTTCTGAATGGTGGCGTCTTAAGTGTTCCTCAAGAGTTGCACGTTTGCTACAGCGCCTGTGAGCCCCAGCGTTCTCTGAATCACTTTGCGTACCATCATCATGTTTATTTCCTGGATACAAAAAGAAAACACACAATAGAGAAGGAAAAAGTCCCATGTAGAAATTTAGAAGCATATACAAAAGTGCTATTTGTTTTGCTCCCCTCCTCCTTTTCAATCCAAAGTCATATGTTCTCTTCAGTAACAGGCTCGGCAAACTTGCTCAATTGCAATGGTTACATTCAAATTTTATCAACTAACAATGAGGTCCTTTATAAACAACTGAATAGGATCGCCTTTCTCCAAATTTTAACTTTATAATGTTTCATCAATGTCTTAATAGATAATTGATGCTCTATCTCTGCGATATTTGTATTCCTAACATCAATAAACATTAATTCTGCCTTCAAATTATACATCTTATTTAGCAATAAAAAATTTGACTCTAGCATTAGAGATGAAAAAAGACAAGAAAAAGGGTAATGTCACTGAAATGCTTACTGTTACACAGGAAATGAGAACATAAGTATGGTAAAAATGTGATGAATCTTAAGCTTCACTGATGTTCAGTACTTTCAGAAGCTCAGCATATTTTTCCTTTTTATTAAAAAGATTCAAATTTGTAGTCCCCATTAATTATTGCAAAATTTTTTCCACATATCTTTCCAGCTATGAGAATTTTTGAAAACTGCATTTGCACTCCAAACTCTAGTGGCTTCAGAGTTAAAGAAAGCATGCTGAGAGGTCTATCAATGCAAAGGGTCATCTATGAAATCTCCACCTAGATCTAAGGACCACTGGGCAAACAGCATGGTGCTCAATATAACCAGCTATTTTCCCCAGGAAGCATATCAGGTTAGAATATATCGGAATTTTGAAAGATCACCTCTTTAACAAAGGTTTTTCTATTTTAGAGCAAGTAAAAGCCACTAGTTACCCTTAATGGTTCTGTTAGGTTTTGGATGTGATGACACAAAAATTATTTTTTTCCTGATTTAAAATTCTCATTACCTAAATAATAAGTATATGATAAAAATAATCAAATGATATTGTATTATTATAGCATGAAATTATTAGAAAGTCAAGTTATTCTGTGCATGTTTTAAATGGAATCACAAATCAGAGCTTAAATTAGTTTTAAACTTCTTTAGCTATGAATGAATTTAGTCAACGAGGTACATTCTAATGCTTCCAGGACTAAATCTGATTTTTAAATTTACCTGGGCTACAAATTTTAATGTGAACACCCACTGAATAATATGGTACCAAACAAAATAATGATCAGACACGAAAGACTTGGGGGTGGGAGAAGCAAATGACCTATGTCTAGGGAAGTTGAGTGTTAATGTTTATAGGTTGTTCCTAATGAATTTAGAGATTACTAACTGGTCCCAATGATTTAACACAGAAACACTAGTTATAAAAATGTGGTGCATAAAAGGAATGAGAAGACACAGAAGAGAGAACTGCGGAATGCACAGAAAAGGGTCATGTCTTGGAAAAGTAATAGGCAAGGGAAACAAAGGGAGTAAGATCAAAATGAAGGTGATTTGGAGATCATGTCTATCAAAGTAATAGTGATTAATACTATAAAAATCATATATGACAACAAATCTGAAGATCTTTCTTCAAATTGTTGACTACTCAAAATGCAATCTGAAAAGAAAAAATGGGATTAATTAATGAAATCCCTGCCTCAGGTAATTAAGCTAGGAATAACAGATAGCAGATGAAAGGCAAGCCCAAACAAACTCCTTAGTTCAAATATAGACTTCATTAAAAACACTAGATTTTACAACCTATTTCATTGTTGTAATGGCTCTATTGAAAAGGAATCCAGTTTCTAAAAGCTGAAAATAACTAAATTCCAATATTTGCTGTACCATAAGAATAACAGATCACGCACATACAGAAAGATTTTAATGAAAATACCATCTTCACAGAATTTAATTGATTCCAATAGATAAAATTTGGCACTTAGTGGTGTCAGGCCCTTTCAAATATCTTTCCTATAACTTGTAGTTCAAAACTTTTCTTATAAATTAGTCATTTTCTTTTTTGGAAAATTACCATTCCCTCTTGTATTTTGTCAGGGTTATACAAGTCAACATCTCATCACAGCTGCAATTTTCTGTTTCTACTCATTAAAAAAGTCACTAGGAAACAGTCCTCACCAAGTTCTTTTCTTTCCTTTGCTCATCATTAACCATGCCTAAATATGTTGAAGTCCTTTTAATATTTTTAGGGTAGGTTAGCTGTAACAAGTCAGTGGTGTGGCCTAAAACAGTGGCAACTCTCCTAAAGGGTTAAAGTGTATGGGCTTTATTTTCCAAACTGTCGCAAAGCACCTGCATTTTACTCTTGTAGGAGCAAAGTTTTTTGTTTTAGTTTTGTTTTGCCTACTTTCAATTCTTTGATCTAAACAGTTGCTGAAAACCTAATTTTTGTAAAATTTTTATTATTTGCTATAATTACATTTATTTAGAGTCTGGCTATATACTTTTTATATCCTAAATCATGGAAAATTGTTATCTAATGATGGAAGCTCTGACTTTTGGAGAAAGTCACATGTCATTTATACACATGTCCAGAAAAGTAAAATGAGTCTATCTTGGATCAAAAAATGAGTTATATTCACAAAAACATTATCTTCAATGGCTTGTAAAATGGTCTGAAGGCAAATCCAAAAGAAGAGTTCTCACACTGGCACCATACTGGAATGTATGTCTACCTATAAATCAACTTTGAAGGACAACAGTAATATGATTACATAATTTCTAGTAAGGGCTTAAAAGATCTAATCATTAAAATACAGATATAGTATACATGTGGACATTAATCCCTCTATTTGGAATTAGGCCCACAAATGGGCTTGTGAGGACAGAACGTTTTAAAATAATGGCTTAAAAATAATAGTCGATACAGGCCAGGCGCGGTGGCTCACGCCTGTAACCCCAGCACTTTGGGAGGCTAAGGTGGGTGGATCACGAGGTCAGGAGATCAAGACCATCCTGGCTAACACGGTGAAACCCCGTCTCTACTAAAAATAAAAAAAATTAGCCGGGTGTGGTGGTGGGCGCCTGTAGTTCCAGCTACTCGGGAGGCTGAGGCAGGAGAATCGCGTGAACCCAGGAGGCGGAGCTTGCAGTGAGCCGAGATCGCGCCACTGCACTCCAGCCTGAGTGACAAAGCGAGACTCTGTCTCCAAAAAAAAAAAAAAAAAATAGTAGTAATAATAATAGTCAATATAGAAAATAGTTATAATGACTAAGTTATAAATGGGTTTAATAAAGGTATTTTTAAAATGATTACCTTTTAAAAGGATATTTTACCTCAGTTTTTGTTTATTAAGAGTGGTTTTAAAAAGTCTAAGTTATTTCTAAATTCTCAAGGTTCAGCTACCTCTTATACTGTACTAGGAGATCAATATTATTTATCCAATTCATATAAACAGCCTATGTGTTTGTGAGTGTTAACCTACAGAAACAAAATGTCTCAATTACGTATTGTCTAGAAGTAAAATGTCACAATCATGTCTCAAAAATACATATGCCAGGTAACTGCTGATAACTATAATTAAATATTGTGATAGGCTCCAACAAATAATTAGGTAATCACATCATCTCACTGTCCGGAAATGTCTTAGAAGCAAATCAGAAATAAGTATACAAATACTATTTCTTCATTACTTGATCAGAATGCCAGGACATAAGGTACAGATTAAATCAGGGACAGTCTTGTCATTGACAGAGAAATCGCCCATTGTTTTCAAATTAGTACCTATCACATGCTCAAGTACTAGATGAAGTGTTAGGAGTACAAAAACTCCTAATATAGTAACAGAATGGTCAGCTAAACGTGTAATCACAATTTGTTCAAAATCGTTTTCCTTATAGATAGCTTATTAAATAAAAGATAGGGTAACATAAATCTATACTCAATTCTAAAATAAATTTAATTGGCAAAACCAATGAGAAAAAACTGATCAGCTGATACATCAGTGTACAAACATACAAATTGTACTAATTTTGGCTAAGTTCTACACAAATAAAGTATATATAACTATTTCAAAAATGAACATTCAACTCTAATTTTCATGAAGTCCTAATATTAAAAAAAATTTTAAAACTGGATTAATAGATCCTACCAAATATTTCTAAACCAAAAATCTTTGTTTTATGAGTAACCACTGAGAATACTTTGAAGCGCTCCATCAATGATGTGACTGCATTACCAAAGTAGAACTTTTGGCTCAGACCAAATGACTTAAAATTTCTTTCAGAATCTAGATATTGATCTCAATAGAGAACAGAATTGAATATATCTTTTCCTTAAATCAAGAAAATGATGGAACTCATCTTCTAGGGAACTCTACTGGTAAACTTAATAAATCTTATATTTCTAGAAGAAAAAGAAACATGTTTTATAGCATAAATATAAGCTCATAAAACCAATCTGGTTTTGTCAAGAAAATGAAGGAAGACTATTTTGAATGAGGAAATTGGACATGGGCAGTGTAGCTTCCTGTTTAGTTTTAAGACTAAATATAACCTTTGAAAAAAGCAGAATGTTTTCTACCATGTAAGTATCTACTAGTAGTCTAGTAAATGAAGACCAGATTTTCTTTATCGTAAAGTAGGAAGTTCTGAATGATCAAATCACTTTACCTTTCAACCTTTTCAAGTACACTGGAACATCACTTTTAATGCTTTTAGAATCCTCTTCTGTTCTTTCCCATAGCATTTGAGGAGGGTTGTTTTGTGCTAGCCAGTCAGCAACTTTGTTTTCGGGTGCCATCATTCCTGTTTGAATCCCCAGCAAGTCTTGAGTTCCAGGAGAAGACTTCTTGGACTTGTGGCGCTGATCAGAAGTAAACTTTGTCACATGGTCTCTAATAGTTACCTTCCCTGGGGTACTGTCATCAAATTCAATGGTAAATGAAGCATGCCCTGCACCTGTTATATGGGAACTTGGCGTGTCTTTTGTTGGGATTTCATGAATAGTGCTTTCTGTTATTTGTGATGGTTGCTGGAATTCTTTTGTAGGGATTTCAAAATAACTTGGTTCCCTACAGAAAGGAAAAAGTACTTCTTCATTTGCAGCTGCAGATTGTTCCTCAACTTGCTTGGCATCTATGCCGCACCCTAATGAGAAAAATAAGAGAAAATTCAAAATATTTGATTGCTTCTGGCACTTGAGGGAGTCTGGTAATGGCCATGTGTACTACTCCGTGAGAACCAGAAGGCAGATCACAGTCTGGATGAAAACCAATGGCATTTATATCACAGAACAAATGTCACAGAGAAGAAAGAATCTTGATTATAAACATGCGATTTGATTACCAATAGGGGATGGAAGATAAGCAGCAGCAATGGCAAATGAGAGCAAAGCAGTTAAGAAATGGATCTTGCATGGCTAGGTCCATATTTTTTCCAACCTGGATCTAGAATTCATCAAGGTCCAAAAGAATTAAAATAAAATGTAGATGGAGATGCATGTTCAATGTATATATAAAAAGTGACAGAAAAACCATGAACTCCCTTCTCAAGTCGCCAAGATGAGATATCTGAAATATATATGAACACATGTAGTGCTCCAAAGGAGAATAGGTGCTCAAATGAGAATACAAACATGAAGTAAATATGTAAGTGATCTTCTGGAAGTAATGATTCCACTTACCATTCTTCACCATTACATTCGGAAACATTACTTTCAGAATGACAAAGATATTGCTGAAGTGCGATCCTTGCAAGAAGATACAAACATTTTATAAAGACTAAAACATGTGGTTTGCAATCCAAGCAGCAGTGTGAACGAAATAAGGTTAAAATAGGAAATTCAGTTTCCAGACAATAACTCTGGAAGTTTACATTTCCATACAGCAGAATATGCAAAAGTGTCAAAATTCCTTGGAGGAAAGCTGAATTGTAAACCTCAGATTAACATGAGTTGGCAGAAGGAGCAAGCAACTCTGGAACACTATCACTATTCTTCTGTTGCCTCAGAATCTAATACAAAAGTATAGAAACAGATGCATTTATGAATAAAATACATAAATAAAAATGACAACTAAAACGTTTTCGGTACGCAAATGCAAAATAAAAAAATTAAAGATGCTATTGTCCTGTTGTTGAAGAAGCAAAGCATGTCCATTATCAAAATGAAGAGCAAGTTGAAATGAGACATATTTCCCTAAAGCTCAAAAATAAATTCTGCTTTTAAACAGATTAATAGAAAAATCACTTACAGACAATTTATTAGGAAAACAAGGCAATACAGGGAGACTAGGTTGTTTCCAAACATTTTCTAATTAAGTGAAGCGTTTGGTCTTTTGAAACATCTTTTCAAAAATTAAATTTTAGTGGGATCTGTCAGGTACTATAATTGGTTTCTTGACAGCAGTCTGAATATGAAATAATATAAAACCTGACTGCTTTTAGGTTACAGAAGAATGATATAGTAACATCTCTCTTTCATAATCAAATGTGTGGGATAGGGCACGGAAGACAACAAGCTCCATTTCCACAATAAATATAATAATAATAAATTGTCAAAAAAATCTAAACACAAGGCAAAGAGAACATATAATATGAAAGAATATATTGTAATTTTCACTGTGAAAAATTATCCCTTTTAAAATCTACTCAGCTTTCCTATCACTGAACATGAAAGAAAAGTATTGGAAAAACTCTACATTATCAGAGAAATAATCATACATTTATATGACATGACCTAAGTTTAAAAAAATGTTTGATTAAAGAGTTAATTTGTCTTTTTCTTAAAAATAAAATGTTCAGCTGGACTTGTGAGTGTTTACTCTGAAGTCATGTTAGTTAAAATTTCCATTAGAATAAAATGTATTAACTGCTTCTCATATATTAATAGTTCATTAATGTTATTTTTCTATTTTTTCAGACATTGATTTTTTTTTACTATGCACAATGTACTGTACTTGATCAAGTCCATACAGTACAACTGGTTCATAAACCTGTCCTCTCTCCCTCCCCCCATATAGATATATACATATAGTTTGTTTTTGCTTTGCTCATCCTTCAGGTGACAGAACAACGTCAAGATGGTAGTTTCTAATACCACTACACAGAGAGCCAAATAAAACTGATCCACTATACAGAGAGCTAAATAAAACTGATGTGGCTCAGCTATGAAGCAACACAAAAAAGCTGGCCAGGGATATAGCACTTATCAAGGTCACCTGTTTTGAAGGTCACCATTCCCATGTTAGTACTACTTCAAACTCGCATTCACTCAAAGCTAGAAACTTGAGACTTATACAAGTTAATAACTAATTCATCTAGAAATCAAGTACCTAACCAGGTCAAGTAGCACAATAGAGTGGAAAGGCAGCAGACTATGATCTGATGATCATAACCAGGCAGCCTGGTTTCATGCAAAGCCCAGACAAGATCTGAAATCAGATAAATCTTATCCCTAATCAGTCTGTAGTCCTCATTTTCCTCATCATAAAGTGAGAAAACAGTATCTTCCCATAAGATTGTTGTGAAGATTTAGTGAGATGAGTATTAAGTGAGATCATGTAAGTTACCCAGAACAAAGCAGGTACACAAATAAATGCTTCTCCCTCCACCTTCAAAAACAGCTGAGAATCAGGAAGACAAAAAGCTAATACCAAAACCCAACTCTAAAAAACCCAAGACAGATATGACAATGCCTATCCTTGAATATTCATAAACATTACTAACAGTTAAGATCTTCACCGAGAGGTTTTTACTATTTACTCAGATCACATGTAGCAAACCTTGGGCAGGGTACAAAAGTGAGGATTAAGGACAGACAAATTGCACCAAGTGGTAGAGACAAGATGAAAAACAAGAGCAGACAAATGGCCCCAAAAACATGATAGTCCAGTACCATTCAGTATATAGGGCAAACAGTCTTATATACTACAGTCTCCTGAGGACATTACTGTAAGGCAGTATCAGTATTATTATATTACTAATATATTTGATTATTGATTATATCAATATTGCTATTGCTATTGATATATATAATAGTAATACTGATATTGATGATTGATGATTTTGAGTCATAAGAAAAAGTTTTAAATTATACTGAAACTTCTCTGCTTAAGAAGGTGGTAATATGGGTAATTAATTTAATAGAAACTTAGGAAATGGTTAAACTTCAAAAAAACTATCAACTGTAAAAGTAAAGTTCAATCATCTGGAAAATTCATTATGTGGAAGGATTCATTTCCCTAAAGATGATAAAAACAGATGAAGTGTGGTCCAACTACACTTGAGAAGTACCTAATAGAAAACTATAAGGGGTCTTCTAATCAACACAGAAAAATAAAACACCTTTCCTCCCTCAGAACACTAACAGAACATATTCTGGAATTTAGAAATTTAACATTCATCTATCTTCAAAACTCATTTTGTTATACCAAATGAAACTAAATAATAGAGTAAATACTTGTTTAGACTAATATTATATTATTAATCTCAATTACTAGATTTTAAAAAATTATTTAATGATTGATTATGCCATAATTAATTCCATATATCTCAATCAGAAAAGCAATTGGTGATAATCTGCTTATGTTCTTAAGGTATTTTATGACTGTGTTACCTTAACACAATATGTTATAAGGGATACTTATACTTCATCCAGAATAAATGTTCTTTTCATTCTTCTGTACTAAATTCAATGAAATATTAAACTTATTTGAGATGACAAGGACTATAATTATAACAGCTCATTCTGCTTAAGACATCCATCTAACCTAGTCTGTTCAAGCATGTCAAATTAAGAAGACTGGGAAGCTCCTTTTGCTTAAAAGGAGCTACGACTTGAAAATTTCCAAATTTAGTTTCGCTGGATTAAAAATCAACATGAGAGAGCCAAAAATCTATGATTCCCAGTTGCACATGCCATTTCAAAATGTGTGCAACAGTTAAAGGCCTTTAATTATAACCTAAATTAATTGTTGAGACCAAGTTAGGAGGTAGAAAAGCATAGCTGTAAATAAATTGAGGACAAACTTTACGTCTTAATACGATTAAAAATAGTCACACAATTTCTGGAGAACGAAATTGCTCTAAAGTAAGTATTTGCTTAAACCAGGGCTTTTTAAGCTATATGGCAAGTCTTCGGGAGTTTCTGGATATATATGAACCCACAGAGAGGAACGTTAAAAATTACTAGGTAGCAAACACTCTATTATCCTTTCTGGAATGCAACTCTAAAAATTAATAACGAAGAAGCAAATCACTTTTTGCTTTCACTAAGAGTATGCTACAGGATAAATTATTAAACTAATCACGTATATTCCACAATTTGAAACTTAAAAAAAAAGTTTAAGTTTTTAAAAATACCTTAATTTCAAAATGACCACATTAAAGAACACTTGATATACATTTCAAATCTGATTCTACAATTTCTGCTGGCTTCATAAATTATTACAAGACAGTAAACTATTTTCCTCATCCTATATTTTAAAAAGCTGCAAATGATAAATCTGAAACAGTAATATCCTCATACTAACATAAGAAAGCAAGTGAGAGTCTCTTAAGGCTATTACTAATCAGCTGTATCTGACAGGGCACTTTAAGGAATTTGACACAAGACATAAATCACTGAATTATTACTCAAAAAGAACCCCAAGATCATGAGACGGCTTTTGGTCATCTAGCAGAAAGAGTACACAAGCTGAGAATTCAGTTACATTCATATAGATGAAAGTATTGCTGGATGCTTCACATTTGAAATTTATTTTATTATGCTGAGCTAGGAGGGATCAATTTTTATGGCTATTTGATTTTGGAGTATTTGTTTAAATCTTTGTACCCTATGAAGTATATCCTTTTAGAGTGATTGTGTTTACAAGAGTAATGATGGCTGAAATATTAAAACTTCTTATGGTTAAGAGCGTGGACTCAGGAGTCAGGCAATCTAAGTTCAAATCCCAGCTCCATTATTTGTAGTTGGGTGACTTTGACAAGTAAATTAATTTCAGTATGCCTCAGTTTCTTTATCTACAAAATCACCGTAACTGTACCTTTAGGTATTGCTGTGATGATTAAATAAATGCATACAAAGCACTCAGAAGAATGTTGGATAAAGTAAACCCTACTGAAGTGTTAGCTATTACTGTAAATCATGGTTGTGCCTTCTGTACAAAAATTACATATACACTTCACTGTATGTTAGAAGTTACGCGCTTCAGATTTCAAAAGCTGTTTTGTGTGTGACAGGGGAGGGCTAAAATTTTAACGGCAAGATAAAAATTACTATCATACTGATTTTCAGAGTTTGGTGATAATTATATTCAGCTATGTTTTCTTAATCACCTAATTGGTAAATCTTTCCCCCTCTCAGTACTAGGTGGCTCTAGGGCACAGTGATAGTATATTATGCGGTACTTGAATAAGACATGTATAGTTTAGCTGTGGGGAGGAGGCACACACACAACATAATGAATGAAACTGTAACGTACTGACGATAAATATACAGACATCATTTAGAATGTATCTCTTTGTCATTTAATGTATGTGTGTATTTATGTCTGTGGGAAAAGAGCAGGCAGGAATTAGCATAATTTATGGGGGATGCATTGGGAGAGACCACTCAAACAACTGGTAATGGGACGTAAGGCTGACCATGGAAACTGGGACAAAATTAGAAAACTCTGACATGAACAACTTAGTTTAAAAATCTATTTGGCAGGCAAAAGACAGTCATTGTAGTTTCTTGAACAAAGAAAATAAAGATCAGTTTAGATGTGTTATACAAAATAAACTGCAGGAGGGTTGAAACCAGGTTGGTAGCCCAATCATGACTCAGGACGGCGGGCAGCGTGGGGAAAGGCAACAGACCTAAGGATTAGACAGACAAGGTGAAGGGAAGGGAACACTCAAAATTTACAAATAAAGCAGACATCCTTGGTTTTCTTTCAATATCCTTTCCCTGTTCTTTCCTCCTCAAAGGACTCCAAAAATCTCTGGCATCCACTCTTTCCTGACATAGATCATGTGGCTTAGGGGAAAACTAACATCACACACAGCTTCAAGGTGAGCAAGACTGGTTTAAGGATAATCTAACTTGCCTTGCCAGGGATTGGTTCAGAAATAAGCAGGTGACCCTCTCCTGAACCTGTGAGAGGCCAATGAGATGAGAGATGTTAAGAACTTTTGGCAAAGTTCTTCCAAATTCTGGAAGGTCTTCCGGAAGTAACGTTTTCGCTTTCCTGTTGGATGTGATCAAAGTAGCATGTACCCCTTCCTGCTACTGGCAGGCAGCCTATGAGAGTGAGGGTAAACTCCTCAGTCTGCAACCACTATGAAGAGCAAGACTGAGAGACGGAGAGAAGCTAGCTAGCTGATGACGACATTGTTGAGATGCTGAAGTAAACAACCCTCATGGGGTTCAGTTATGTGAGCCAGTAAATTTCTTCCCTGTTTAGTCTCAGGCAGCATTTGTTATTTACATCTGAAAGCGTGCTAAGTAATACTGTTTCTGTGCATGGGCATGAAGAAAACTGCTGGTGACAGAAACAATAAAGCTGGGATGGGAATTTATTTGCAAAGTTGACAAGTTCAGCCTTGGGCACTGTAAGATGAAGTTGATAACGCTCGCTTTTCTAGACTTGTATCCATTAGAGCATACCTAAAGAACCAATGTTCTTATTGTCCAGCTAAGAAAAATGTCCTATTTATCTTGTAGAATTAGGGTGAAAAGTAGAAAAGTGAGAAGAGTTCTCATGGAATTTATCCTTGGTTCAGAGCCAGACTTAGTCTTCCATACTGAGCCCAGGTGCCTGTACTTAATTCCTCCAGTTCTGGATCCTTGTCTGCTGTTATCTCAAAAACTGGCTGCTCCATCTTTCTGTTCTCATGTCTTTGCAAGGTCCTTATGTGGCAACTGACACCTCCATTCATTTCCTGGAAGTCTTGATTTTCTGGTTTACGGACTGAACCACTCCATTAACAATATCAGAAATATCAAAAATGTGTTCCTTGACTATTAATCTGAGAATCTGACCCAGAACTATTTTTTCATTCTGGCTGCCAAACTCAACTAATCTTGTTGCTGCCATTTCTCATTACAATGAGCACACTGAGGTTTTGAAGAATTTGTAATTTCATATCACATTTCTGAACAAAGTGGGAAATGTTCATTTAAAAATATGATTAAGCTGGACATGAGATGGTGTGTGCCATAATCTCAGCTCCTCGGGAGGCTGAAGTGGGAAGATGGCTTGAGTCCAGGAGTTCAAGACTAGCCTGGGCAACACAGTGTGATCCCATCTCAAAGAATAAATTAATTTATTTTAAAAATATGATTATATTCTGGGGATCTAATAAAAACGCAAAATTAATGCCTACAATTTTGGTCTAATTGATATATTTTAATAATTATTTTTATAAACTTAAAATGCCTAGTTATATCATTAATCTACTTTCCAAATCTTAACATCTCCTTTAAACTGTAAAAAATATTTTAAATAGAAGTGCTTTATAAAGATATTAAAATTAATACTTTACTTATAATCACACATAATTTTAAATTTTACATTAAAATAACAAGGCCATTAAAACATTCATCAATTTTAAAAAATCAAAGTATAGAATACTAGATCATCTCTTTTCATGGTAGACAGCTGTTTGCTTAGATTACAGATACTTCCCAAAATATCCACTTAATGTCACAGTGACTGAGATTTTTTTACCTGATGTTCCAGCTTCATGGTTTTTTTCTTCAGGTTTGCCATTTGTCTTGAAAGCTCTTTTTTCATCCACCTCATCATCCCCCCACCATGACGGCTGCCCATATAATGGAGTACCACGGGGCATAGCAGAAATATCTGGAAAGAGGTGGGAAAAATCTGTCTAAAGCAGATGAAACAGAAAAGAATACACTTTCGCAGAATGCTAGAACTGCCTGCTTGATTAATTAAATTAAAAAGCAAAGTATAGTCTTGATAGCTAAAATGTACTCTATACTGAATTAACTCGGTATTTGTGGAAGATCTTATACAATGTTGGACATGACTAAATAAATAAGATTTCCACTGGGTGGTATCTAAGTAACACAACGTGCTACATATCTCAATAGCTTTTTGTTAAGGTGTTATGAGTTGTTTGCTATATAACTGAACTGCTTGTAACAAATGGCATTTTACTTGAATTTAGACAGAAAGTGACCTCAGAAGAACAAGTTTGTTGAAACTAGACAATAATCAACTAGGGAAGAACAAAACCAGTCTGATCAGAAATGGCTCATTAAGACTAAATGTAAAAGACAAAGCTAAAGTAAATTTTCACATGAGTAGCTATTTTCCAATTTTTTTCCAGCCCAAGGACACAAAAACTAGTTCTTAACAGAACTAACATTTTTTTGTTTGAGCAAATGTAGTAATGCCTATTCATTTAAAAACTTGTTTCTGTTTGAATGGGATTATTTATGTAAGGCATTTTATAACGTGCCTAGAATTGTAAATTATTATATGGTGATACAGCCACATTTGATTTAAAAAATTTTTCTTTTAATTCGTTTTCGTTGTTATGCTGCAGAAGAAAATGCAGACAAACATGAAATAATAAAAATATTATAAGGTAAACTACACAGTTAACCCTCTGAATCTGTAGGTTCTGCATCCATGGGTTCAATTAGCTGCAGATGAAAAATGTTTTGGGGGAAAAAATTCCACTACATTCCAAAATGCAAGACTTAAATTTGCCTTATGCCAAGTACTATTAAACAAATGAAGTGAGGTGTATGCATTGTATTAGGTATTATAAGTGATCTAGAGATGATTTAAAGTATACAGGAGGATGTGTTCAAGTTATGTGCAAATACTATGCCATTTTACATAAGGAACTTGAGCATCGTGAATTCTGGTATTCATGGGAGTCCTGAAACCAGTCCCCCACGGATACTGAAGGATGACCATATTTACTTCTCTTAAACATTTAAACATATTAAGCACACCTATATATAACTGCTATATATAATTATGTGTTTTATAATGTTTCCTAATGAAAGCACTGGTAGCATTAAAACACACTCTGAAATTATCACTATTATAAATTATTTTTATATGGACATAGCCAACTTTCTGAGAACAAAGCATGCAGTGTCTTCAAGATCAAGTATAAAGATGGTCTTTCGAGAGAGGCCAGCTTACCCATGGCTTTTTCCTCGGATTTCAGTGCTTCAGTAGTTTTGTGCTGCACTTCAGTAGCAGCGTCTGCTACCTTTGAATCTATGCTTTTGGCACTTGCAGATTTGGATAATTCTGATTCTGAAGATTTTTGGGACAACTGAAGCTGAATGGTAAACTTCTCATGCTATAAAACATTTAAAAATGGAAGTGAAACATCAAGAAGTAAAATCAACCATAGTGAAGAGTAGATTTGCAAAAGAAGTTAAGTAAAAACTGTTACCTTAAGAGCTTCTTCAGGGACCCTCATTTCTCCTTGTACTACAGTGAAAAGATTTGTATGTAAACGGGGCTAAGGAAGAATATAACCTCAAATTTCTGATAATTGAGCTAAAAATCGTCATCAAATGTAATTTAGAAATTGTTCTATTTCAACAGGTAACTACAGCAGAATTATTATATTTCCCCTGAATAGTTAAATATTAAAATATGGTCACCAATGTAAACATTTTCATTTTAAAATACTAAAAATCTTAAGATCCAGCAAGTTTTCTAATTTTAAGTAATGGTGGCCCTCAAGAAGCAAACAACTGGGTAATTTATCAGAGCACAGAGACATTTTCAATTTTCACTAACAATAATATGAGATAACTACAAAGAAAAAGTACATGCATCAAATTATATTGAGAGCTAATCACAAAAATGTAAGGAAATATCTCATCAATGATTAACCAACAGCAATTCCTAAAAGAATTTGATTACTCAAACTTCATAAGCATTGATAAAAATGAAGTTCATTTTGCAAGTGCAAAAGAAATGCTATAATTAGGGTCCTTACAGCAACCACAACCATGACTGTTCCCCATGAATTGCAATCAAGGTCGTATTACATTATCAAACAATGGATACTATACCAAGATGAGATTAGAACCAAGTGCTAGATACAATGAATGCCTTCATTATTAAACCAAAAAGAACACTGCCTCTGTATATTAAAAAGATCTATTCACTAAAGAGTAGAGGTCACATTTCCCACCATTACTTAACTCTGTAATGAGAGGACTTTTATAACCATGTACTAAATTCTATTCCTTACCAGTTCAGAGCACTCATGACTTCGAGGGTAGAAAGCTGTAACTATCATGACTACTTGGGGGAAAAAGATGACTTCCCAAGCATAAGGGAAGTAGGAAACTTGTGAGTATTTATTCTAGGTTTCTACTTGTTAAAATAATAAAAATTCAGAATTGTAAATATGAAGAGTTTTGGGAAATATTCTGTTCAATTCCATTAGTCCCTCCTGTTTCATAAATAAAGAACCTGGGTAATGGACGGACAGAAACCAAAACAAGAGTCTAGTCAACTGAATCCCAGGCCAGGGCTCTCCTATTAATCTACATTGCTTTTTCCTATAGCTTTGAAATATTAAAATTTTCCTTTTTGTCACATTCATACACTGGTATATATTTGCTGGTACATATGGAAATACACATCTCATAACTAAGTATATTTAATAAAAGATAATGTCTAAATTGCAAACATATGGAATCAATCTAAATGCCCATCAACTGATAAGTGGTTTAAGAAAATGTGGTATATATACACCATGGAATACTACTCAGCCATAAAAAAGAATGAAATAGTGTCTTTTGCAGCAACTTGTATGGAACTGAAGGCTATTACTCTAAGTAAAGTAACTCAGGAATCAAAAACCCAAATACCACATGTCCTCACTTCCAAGTGGGACCTAAGCTATGGGTACACAAAGGCATACAGAGTGGTATAATGAACACTGGATAATCAGAAGTGGGGAAGCCGGAAGGCGGGGTGAGGGATGAAAAACTACCTATTGAGGTACAGTGTATACTACTCAGGTGGTGGGTACACTAAAATCCCAGACTTCACCCTTGCACAATTCATCCATGTATCCAAAAAATCACTTGTATCCCTAAAGCTATTGAAATTTCTTTAAAAAGACAAAAAATGTGATTAAGCTATTATAAGAAAAAACCTAGAATTTAATAAGTATACATACATTCGCATATTTATATAATATGAATTATATAAACACATATATATAATATAGAAAAACACTAGGGCATGACTACTGCAGATATTATTGAAGTTTTTCATTCTTTTCTGAAAATTGCTTTCTATCTGATGTGGTTACAGATGTGAGTTCCCTGAAGCAATATTATGGTAAAAACTTTGCTTTAAATATAATAATAATACTGTCTAGTAACTTTGTTTTATCCGCAAAAAACTCATAAACAGCTAGAGAAAATTCATAGCATTCCTACTTTTTCTATGAAAAAAGGCATTAAAAATGGACAGTCATTACCATTTTTTCCATGGAAAACACAAGTGATTTCAGCCTGTTGTGAGGGTTTTCGGGTGCTTCAAGCTTACCTCCTGGGAGTGCCTGAAGGCAACTTCCCAGGGCTCGTCTGGGGTATCCTCTTTAAACCTAGACACTCTTCAGGTCATGGAGAGCTTGAGAGGAGCCATCCTTCTCAGGTTCAAACATTTTACCTTCCAAAAATGTTTGTGTGTGTGGAAACGAAGAAGACCTCAAGAAGCCTCTTGTTTGGGTCATTAATTCATCTGGGAACTCTGGTGTAACTGTGAGATCTGGAGACTGCTCTAGCCCCAGCTTTTCCCTCCAAGGCTACCATCTTCTTAGTGGTGCAGGCCTATGTAGCTATTTTTAACTTGCTAATCAAGAAAAATGACAAACAGAGGTAGAATAACGCATGATATCAGTAAGTTATAAAAAGTTTGAATTCTTGCTTATTAAAAAATCATAATTTGACAGGTTATTTCTCCACTTCTTTATATAAAACTATGATTGCTATTCTAAGCCATCCCCCTGTACTGACCTAAGTCAATTTATTCAAGAAATGTTTATCTAAAAGTAGGACTGTGGAAACTCCCCTGAATACTAGTAATGTGTTCTTAGATACGGTTCCTCCCACTCTTTTATTTTAATGACAAAATAAAAAACAGAGCGAAACTTTAAACAGCGTTAGTTATTCCAAGGGGTATGACCTAAAATATGAAGTGTCAGATATCACTGTAAACATATCTTTCAAAAATCATGTCAGATAATTAAGAAAACCTGAATAAAATTATTTCATACAAGGAAAGATCAGAAAAACATATTTTTCAAAATTAATATATTTCATACATGTGATTTAAAAAAACATATAATAAGGCTATCCCTAGAAATTCTTAAGGTTACCCAAAAATGTTTCCTTTTCATTACAAATATGGAAATTTTCCCTCATTTAACAACAATTGATAATAAAACATACAATTATGATAAATTAGAGTCCACAGAGAATTAGTAAGGTAGGTCCTAGGAGACAATAAGGGTTTAAAAGAAAGTTAACAGCAGGAAACTTTCTAAGGGGAAAATTTTATCTATCTGCTTAATTTTGCCTATACCTTCAAAAAAAGGTATCATTTTATTTTAGGAGATGATTATCTTTCCAACTTGTAGAAGATCCTGTTCTTTAAAAACATAGTTTTCAAACAACTGATTTAAACTTCTCTATCACTTCATTTTTTCATCCAAAAAAGCTCATTTCCATTAATTTTTAAAATTTAGTTCTTTTAAGCTTTGAGAAATGTCCTCTATTTTTGAAATTTGAAAAATATTAATATGCTCATGTTTTGTTATGGATATCAACCACATAGATAAGGAAAAATCTTAACTTCTCTGAATGAAAGTTCTTAATTTTTGCTTACATTTAACTTCCCCTTGATCATTCAGCAGCCGTTATCTTGACAGCCTACCAAACAGTGGTATATATAGTGCTGGAAGTACAGATTAATTATAGTTTTAGATGCTATGATATGATGTATTGGAGTTTTCTTTAACCTGGTTTCTAATATGACTAACCCAATCATTTTGTGGGCCATTATGCAGGAATATACAACTTCTTTGGGAAAATACATAAATCACAATTTTAAAATAGAAGGTACTGGGTTCTTACTTATGATGACTTACATGATTAAAATGATTGGCGGGTGGATCTTGTGATTCAAGATATTTAAGTAATGTGTAAATAATTTCCCACAAAATGTGGAAACCATACTATACTCTGCTTTTCCTCCTAGCACATTAGTGGTTTCTCCTTAGTCTCTTTTACTGGTTCCTAATCTCACCCATCTCTTAATATTGGAATGTACCAGGTGTCAGTCCTTGAACCTCTTATCAATCTATATTCATTCCCTTAATGATCTCATTCAGTCTTATGGTTTTAAATATTATTTATATAATAAAAATCCCCACATTCATATCTTTAGCTTCTACTTCACCCCTGGATTCAACTTTACATTCAACATGCCCCAAATCAACTTCTCAATCTTCTGGATAAGATGGAGTAAAAAGAATTGGATTTATTCTCCTACATTAAACAACTAAAAGATGGGTAAAACACATGATACAATGTTTTACAAGACAATTGGCATCAGGCAACAAAAGACAATGATCTCCCAGAGAAGGGCAACAAAGCAAGAGTCCAATCACTGCCCCAACTCACTGCCCTGTGAAAGTTTCTAGGTCACACTGTGAGGAAGAATAATCCAGACAGAGCCTGGCAGACTCCCTGAGTTGTGATGGAAATGAAGTCAAGAGTCCAAGCAAATCAACATTACTGGAATTCCCAGGACTGAGTACTGAAGACAAGCCTGCACAGAAAGAGAATTCCAGAGATTTTCAGTCTCTGGAAAATATTAGAGATAATAGTACCCAGTGCCCACACATAGGGCCAGGAATAGTACCTACTCTCAACAGCTAGACTGTAAAACCTCATGCATGATTCATGAGTCACTGGGTAGAGCACAAGTCAGCAAACTTTTTCTGTAAAGGGCCAGATAGTAAATCTTTCAGGTTTTTCAGGCCACGTGATCTCTGCTTCAGCTACTCAACTCTGCAGCGGTAGAGCAAAAGTGGCCACAGAAATATGTTAATAGATTGGGCATAGCGATGTTCCAACAAAACAGCCTGAGGACCAGATTTGGTCAATGAGTTTACTGACCCCCCACAGTAGAACATACAGAAAGGTCTTGCCTCAGTAGTTGGGAATAATTAGCCCAGAACAATCTTAGAAGCCTAACAAATCTTAAAGGAAAGACTCAAAGTGATAAAACTGTTTCCAAGTAACTTGTATTCCAGAAGAATGCTCAAAAATACTTATATAAATACTAAAATATGCATAACACTCAGCAAAGTAAAATTCACAATGCCTGCCATCTAATAAAAAATTACTATGAGTGTAAAAATTAATCAATGGAAATCAACCCAGAAGAGATAAACAAATTTTAAAATAAATAATGGAGATTTTTTCCAAATTGGATTGAAACTATAAAGCCACAGGATTTTAGAAGGTCAACAAACCCCAAGGGAGGAACAAAAAAACAACAAACAAAAAGAAAGAAGAAGAAAGAAGGAAGAAAAAAGAAAGAAGAAAGAAGGAAGAAAAAAGAAAGAAGAAGAAAGCTACACCAAGACACATCATAATCAAACAGTTCAAAGCCAGGGACAAAGGAAAATAATGTGAGAATACAGTGGAGCAACATCTTTAAAGTGCTAAAAATAAGAAAAAGCCAATTTCGAATTCTATCCCCAGCAACAGTAACTTTTTTTCTTTTTTGAGATGGAGTCTCTCTTTTGCCCAGGCTGGAGTGCAGAGGTACGATCTTGGCTCATTGCAACCTCCGCCTTCTGGGTTCAAGAGATTCTCCTGCCTCAGCATCCGGAGTAGCTGGGATTACAGGTGTGTGCCACCACGCCCAGCTAATTTTTGTATTTTTAATAGAGACAGGGTTTCCCCATGTTTGCGAGGCTGATCTCAAACTCCCAACTTCATGATCCGCTTGCCTTCAGCCTCCCAAAGTGCTGGGATTATAGGCGTGGGCCACCATGCCCGGCCAATATTATCTTTCAATAACTAAGATGAAATACTTTTCTAGACATATAAAAGCTGACAGAATTCATCACCAGCAAAGCCATAGTACAAGAAATGTTGAAGGAAGTCCATCAGGTAGAAACAAACTGACATTATGTGAAAATATGGATCTGTACAAAGGGATGAAGAATACCAGAAATGGAAGGTTCGTGGGTTTCAGACATAAGTACAATGGGTATAAAAATATGTATTTTAAAATATGTATTTTAAGATTTTAAAAATTATTTAAACCTCTTTAAATGACAATTGACTTTTTACTAATAACAATGTAGTATGGGGTTTGTGACACACATAAAAATAAAATACATGACATCATAGCACAAAGGTCAAGACGAAAGTATACTGTTGTAATGTTCTTGTACAATATGTAAAGTGGTATAATGTTACTTGAAGATAAAACTTGAAATTAAAGACAAATTATAAGTCCTAAAGGTACCACTAAAACAACAACAAAAAATTACGGCAAATAAGCCAACAAAGGAGATAAAATGAAATAATAAAAACTATTCAGATAACTCAAATGAAATCAGAAACAGGGAAAGAGAAAACATAAAACTAATGGGTCAAACAGGACACAAATTTCAAGATGATAGATTTAAAACTAACCACATCAATTATCACAATAAATGTGAATGGCCTACATCACCAAATAAAAGTAAAAATTATCGTATCAGATAAAAAAGTAAGAACAACTATATGCTGCCTACTTTACAGGTAAAGACAAACAGGGTAAAAATTAAAAATATAAGTAGACAACAGAAAGCTGGAACAACTATAATATTAAGACAAACTAGATTTCAGAGCAAAGAATCTTATTATGGATAAAGCAGGTCATTGCATAATGATAGAGGGGGATAATTCATCAAGATAGCATAATAATCCAGGTTGTCTATGCAACTAATAAAAGAGCTGCAAATGACAAAGCAAAAAGTTCTGCAAGGAGGAGGGGGCGAACCCATAATTATAGCCTGAGATTTCAATACCCCTTTCTTAATAATTGAAAGAGTAAGAAGACAATAAATCAGTAAAATACAGCAGACCTGAACACCCACCAAGCCAACCTGGCCTAACTAACATTTATAGAACATTCCAACCCCCAAATAGCAGAACGCATATCCTTTTTAGGTACATATGGAACATTTACCAAGATAGAACATATTCTGGGCCACAGAACAAGTCTCAATAAATTGAAAAGGATTTGAGACATACAAAGTATGTTCTCTGAGCAAAATGGAATTAGAAATCAGTAACAGAAATATATCTGGAAAACTCCCCAAATATCTGGAAACTAAACAAACTTATAATCTGTGACTCAAAGAAGAAAATAAAAAAGGAAATTAGAAACATTAAAGTAGTAATTGGGGGAAAATTTATAGCTCTAAACACCAGTATTAGAAAAGAAAGGTCTCAACTGAATGACCTCAGCTCCTACCTAGAAAAAAGTTTAGAATAAAGGTAACAGAAATCAAATAGAAAACAGAAAAATGTGAAAACTTGGTTAAGTCTAAAGCTAGTATTTTGAGATGATTCTTCCCATTTTCTCCACAAAACTTGCTCTACCTACAGAATTCTCTATCAGTTATTAAAAGGATGCCTTCCTTTTTCATATTGCTCAGGCCTAAATTCTGGTTCATCCTTGACTCTTTCTCTTACTCTACATCCAGTCTAATCAGAAAACTTTATTGGCTACATCTTCAAAATATACACAGAATCCTTTCATTTCTACTTCCAGATATATCACCCTGGTCCAAACCTCCTTTACCGTTCACCTGAACTACTGCAATAGCCTCCTAACTGGTCTCTCTTTTCATACCCCTGCCCACTCCACCCTTAGTTTTCTTTGAACAAGAGTAGCCAGAGGATCTTTTTAGATGTATGTCATTTATCACTCCGATTAAAAAAAAACAAAAACAAAAACGCCTCCAAAGACTACCCATTTCACTCAGAATAAAAGTCAAAATCCTTATAATGTCCTACGAGAACTGATATATTCTGACTCCTAATATACTCATGTTCTTTGCTGGCTCCAACCACACTGGCTTTTAAATGCTATTCCTCCAATATGTCAAACATGTCTCTGCTTCAAGTCCTTTGTACTATACCCTCATCTGTCTGCAGGACAATATCTCCATATATCCATATGGCTAACTTCTTTACTTTCTCCACATCTTTGCCCCAGTGCTGGCTTCTCATTGAGGTCTTCGTGAATATTCTTTTTAAAACTCTAACTTCCCACTTACCAACACTAGCTCTCTGCCTCCCACTTTCACTTTTTTCCATAGAACTTACCATCCTCTAATACCCTCACTTCTAGTGTGTGCTGTCAGTCCCTTCAACCCCACTAAAGTGTAGGCTACAGGAGAACAGTGATTATGATCTATTTTATTCACAGTTATATTTCCCAAACCACTGGGACTATGCCTGGCACATAGGAGACATTTAATAAATAATTAGGAAATGAATAAACTTTTCCTTATCAGCCTCATTTTTGGCTACCTGAAGATTTATTACCACTTTTTGAAGTTTTTCTTGATTACTGCAGCATTTTAGTACTCCTTATGAGTTTACGGTCATTTTAAAAGCTTGTATATTTCACTGAGTATGTGCTTTTCCAAATCACTTATTTCTCCAGTTACAAAAAAGACTTATGTTGCCTAATTCTAGTCTTGATCCATGTTAAATTGCTCCTTCTATTGATGTAGCATTTTATTTTATTTCATTTATTTATTTATTTTAGACGGAGTCTTGCTCTGTCACCCAGGCTGGAGTGCAGTGGCACGATCTTGGCTCACTGCAACCTCCGCCTCCCAGGTTCAAACAATTCTCCCTGCCTCAGCCTCCTGAGTAGCTGGGATTACATGTACCTGCCACCATGCCAGGCTAGTTTTTGTATTTTTTGGTAGAGATGAGATTTCGCCATGTTGGCCAGGCTGGTCTTGAACTCCTGACCTCAACTGATCTGCCCACTTTGGCCTCCCAAAGTGCTGGGATTACAGGTGTGAGCCACTGCGCCCAGCCTGCTGTAGCTTTTTAATCAAAATAGTTTTCCTCTCCAAAGTATAGCAGTTTATAGACTGCCTATTAAGATTAATTTTAATTAGAATAAAGTACAAAAATGTCTTCAATCTAGCATAGCTAAATACAGAAACAAGTAAATATATAAAACCTGCTTTTAAAATTACGTATATAATATAATTTCTGCCACTATAACAGATGGTTTTTTTTTTTTGAGACGGAGTCTGGCTCTGTTGCCCAGGCTGGAGTACAGTGGCACGATCTCGGCTCACTGCAAGCTCCGCCTCCCGGGTTCACACCATTCTCCTACTGAGGTGGGAGGTAGGAGCCTCCTGAGTTGCTGGGAGTACAGGCGCCCGCCACCATGCCTGGCTAATTTTTTTGTATTTTTAGTAGAGATGGGGTTTCACTGTGTTAGCCAGGATGGTCTCAATCTCCTGACCTCATGATCCGCCTGCCTCAGCCTCCCCACGTGCTGGGATTACAGGCATGAGCCACCGTGGCTGGCTAACAGATGCTATTTTAAAATAATAAAATTATATGTGCCTCCTCTGGGCATCCAGACAGTAGTTATGGCTCAACACTAAGTGCACAACTCTGAGAAAGTCTTTGGGACAAAACATCCGTCCCAACAATTTTAGACAGACATATTATGAGCTGGTACGTAAGAGAAAAATGTCTGTTTGCTGTTAAGAAAATAGTATACTATTGTGTAAAAGCATGAGGTTTTTTTCTCAATAGTTTCTTCTTGATATAAAATTCAAAGTTAACTTGACAGAGTTTTACTAAAACTTAAATTTCCTAGTATTTTTCTCATGATTTGAAACAGTTGATGCCAAATGGATTAAAGGAGGTATCTAAATTCAAAATATACTTGTATTTGTTCTTGATGAAACTTAGGCTGGTAGAAAATGACACCCATTCATTAAGGCTTTAATGCTAATTCTTAATTATTTTGCATGAAGCATTTTTTTTAAAGACTTAAAATATATACAAGTATTACTATTTAATGGTTTGGCTTTTTGTATATTCCTTTGGCTCTGCAAGTGTGAACATTATAAAGTATGCTACAAAACTTTAATTTTAGATTTAAAATTTAAAAAATTGTAATATTATTTTTCGTAATTTTTTTTTTTTTTTTTTTTTTTTTGAGATGGAGTCTCTCTCTGTTGCCAGGCTACAGTGCAGTAGTGTGATCTTGGCTCACTGCAACCTCTGCCTCCTGGGTTCAAGCGATTCTCCTGCCTCAGCCTCTGGAGTAGCTGGGATTACAGATGCGTGCCACCATGACTGGTTATTTAAAACATTTTTTTGTATTTTTAGTAGAGACGGGGTTTCACCACATTGGTCAGGCTGGTCTCGAACTCCTGACCTCGTGACCTGCCCACCTCAGCCTCCCGAAGTGCTGGGATTACAGGTGTGAGCCACAGCACCTGGACTATTTCTCGTAAATGTCAAGGAACAATTTTATAGTGTTAATACATTTACTTTAAGCATCTACTCTATTTAGCTGAGACTATGCTTTTTCTGCTACGGTGACAAAAGTCCATCCAAATTGCTATGCTTAATACATTCTTTATTACCAAAGTCCCAATAAAAGTAGTAATTCAAAAAAACTAAAACTCAAAAAAAAAAAAAACAACCTTCAGCATTATGTGGAATAGCTGTATTTTAATTAAATGTACATAAATCCTTTTTACAAAGCTTCTTGCCTACTATGAATGGAAATGTCTTTCTTCTTCTGCAATCATGCTCCTTCCCTTCACTAGAGATTCTTCACGCTGCCCCATGCAGTTTAATACAGTCATGTCCTTGTTCAATTATTAGATTCCTAATTTTAAACATAAGAATTTTAAATACACACTAAATGCATAATGTGGATTAATCAGAGAGCGTAGGTCTTAGAAGACACAGGATATTGAAAAGTTTGAATTTAATAGGCAATATAGCTGTGATGCATAAAACAGTTAACGGGAGGGATGGAAGGAAAAGTAGGTTTAAATTCTTACATTCATCCCAGGAGGCTGATTCATGCATCATGTTCCACCTGAAAGCAATCCCTAGGCTGGACTAAAATTAAACATTCCCCTGTCCTCTCCCCAGTTACATTCTTTGATGCTCAAATTATATATGCAATAGCACTTCAGTGAGACTGATGCTGAAACTACATAAATAGAGAGAGAGAGGGAAAAAAAAAGCTGAGTCCACCAACTTTTCCATGATTACTTTTAGGAACAGGCATAATAACTAAAAATATATATGTATTTTAGTATAGGAATGCACCCAATAAATAGAAATTCTGGCATATCTATATTGTGAATTGTGTTTTAAAAATGTTAACTTAAACCAGAGTAAACATATTTGAATAAATTTAATAAGTACATAAAACCATTTAAGGATATCATATCCAAATCTCAGCTTATCTTCAAGTTTCAAGGTGATATAAGTCTGTTCCGGAATCCTTACATCATTCACAAAAGTCTACAAGGAAACAAAAAAAGATGTTAGGTTACGTATGAGGTATTAATTCTTACATTTCAGATAAGCAAATTCTCAAATCTGAGAGTTAAAAGCACATATCATACGGTGGCTAATACAGCCTGAGTATCATAAGATGTGCCATGCAGCCTGTAGGCTGATAAATGATTTTATACTAAGCCTTTTATCTCTCTTACTGGTAACACACAAAGAACCCAGTGCTGCCAAGATGAATTTAGGCACTTAGAATAGTTCCTAAAAATGGTGCCAAGAAAAGCTCCTAATCTAAAGCTGGCAAACCGCAAAGGGTAAAATATTTAACTGTTAATATACCATCAGGGTTTGCTCAACCCAATTTTAGCTTTTTGAGAAATTCTGTCTATGTGTAAGCATTGACATTTCATTACTTTTATTTTTGGAATTATTATAAAGAAGAAGAAGAAAATTTACTTTAAGAAAATAGAATAAAACTCAATTTATTTTGCAGTTGTCATATGGGTCCTTTGGATCCCTTTAGGAATCACATACATTATAAGGTTTCAGTGATCTTATTTTTCTGATATGTTGAAATTCTGCCATTTTATCATCCTAGCAACTATTTAATATTTACTCATCAATTATTCCAAACAACGCTAAAAGTGATCCAAATAATAAGACAAAAGAATAACAGAAGCAATAACCAACAAAAAAATATTGTAAGCCACATTTACTATTATATTTTCTTTCTTCTCTCTCTCTCTCTTTCTTTCAGGGTCGCGGTGGTGCGATCATGGTGCACTGCAGCCTTGATTTCCTGGGCTCAGGTGATTTTCCTACCTCAGCCTCCTGAGTAGCTGGACTACAGGTGCATGCTACCATGCCCAGCTAATTTTTGTGTATTTTTTGTAGAGACAAGGTCTCCCTATGTTGCCCAGGCTGATCGCAAACTCCTGGGCTCAAATGATATGCCCACTTTGGCCTCCCAAAATCCTGGGATTATAGGTGTGAGCCACCATGCCTGGCCAAATTATATTTTCTAGTGGGCACATAAAAAAGGAAACAAGATAGAGGTGAGATTAGTTTTAATATTATACATTTCACCTGATATATCCAAAATAGTACCGTTTCAGTAAAGTACCAATATAAAAACTAACAAGGTATTTCATATTCTTTTTTTTTTCTTTTTTTGGTACTATGTCTTTAAAATTTAGACTACTCCACATTTCAAGGGCTCAACAGGCACACATGGTTAGTGGCTACTGTAGTGAAAAGCACAGACCTACGAGCATGATGCAATAGTGAAATAAATCACTATTTCATCATTCTTTAGTTATCTTACTGCAGTGGCCAAAATATTCCTCATCTTTCCAAGAAGGTATAAAAGACATCTGGAGATAAAATCTTTATACATTTTGGGGTTTCTTTTTTCACCTATTAAAGAGCACAGTTGAAAATCCAGAATTTCTGATTTAACATTCATAAAGGCAAAGAGAAGAAAACAGGAAGATATTTCATAATTATAAGATAAATACAAGAGACAGTGGGATTCTACACTATGATAATGTTGATAAAGCTGATAGCATAAGCAAAATTATCAGACTCTGTGTCTTCAAATGAAGACAGTCATAGACACATTTTCTCTAATGCAAGAATCAATGAGAAAGAATGTGTCCATGAAAAAAAAAGAAATTTTCATCTAGTTAGTCATTCAGTAAGAATCACGTAGTATTTTTCAAAAAGAATCTGAATGATTTTGGGTTTTGTGGGGGTTTTGTTTTTGGGGTTCTGAGACAGGGTCTCGCTCTGTCACCCAAGATGGAGTGCAGTGGCATGGACCACATCTCATTCTGAAGCCTCGACCTCCCAGGCTCAGGTGATTCTCCCACCTCAGCCTCCTCAGTAGCTGGGACTAGAGGCTTGTGCCACCACACCCTGCTAATTTTTAAATTTTTTGTAGATGGGGTCTCACTATGTCACCCAGGCTGGTCTTGAATTCCTGGCCTCAAGCAATCCTCCTGCATTGGCCTCCCAAAGTGCTGGGATTACAGGTGTAAGCCACCATCGCCAGCCTCATTTTAAAAGAAGTGTCATATTTTAAAAGAAATATTGACAGCCTTCTTTTTTCACATCTGTGTTCCAATACTTATTTGATATAGTATGTAAGTGGACATATTCTCAACACAAGTATCTATACAAAGGTGACTGGAAGAGATGATGTAGACATAAAATTATTGGATTGAGCTTCTAATTGTTGTTTATAAATCTAAAAATAATAAGTGTTTTGCACTTTATGGAGGAAAAAAGATGGCTATCCTATTAACAAAATTATAAGCTGTAAAGTTTTTTTTTTTTTTTTTTTTTTGAGATGGAGTCTTGCTCTTGTTGCCCAGGCTGGAGTGTAATGGCGTGATCTCAGCTCACTACAACTTCTGCCTCCCAGGTTCAAGCGATTCTCCTGCCTCAGCCTCTCAAGTAGCTGGGATTACAGGCACCTGCCGCCACGCCTGGCTAATTTTTGTATTTTTAGTAGCGATGGGGTTTCACCAGGTTAGCCAAGCTGGTCTTGAACTCCTGACCTTAGGTGATTCACCTGCCTCAGCCTCCCAAAGGGCTAAGATTACAGGGGTGAGCTACTGCGCCCAGCCAAAATTTTTAAAACACTGTGTTTTGACCATGCAAGAACAAGAAGCACCAGAAATAATACACTAGAATTAACTAAAGACATACAGTACTTGAGATCTGGAATCAACATTTATAAGATGGATATATGTTCCAGGTGAATACATGTCAACTGATGAGCAGTTAGTTGCATTCAAACAACACTGCCCATTTTGGGTAGTATATACCTTTAAACACCAGGAAAATATGGAATAAAAATTTGAGTTTGTCATGTCTAATTTTTTATTAAAATTTCAAGTTGTTTTAATTACCCTTTTATTTTTACTTTTGTAAATTATTTGTACAATATTTTTTTTAAAAAAGGGTCCACTGGATTATTGCCGGAAGTCAGTGACCCTGAATGGAGGGACCAGCTGAAGCCATGGCAGAAGAACATAAATTGTGAAGATTTCATGGACATTTATTAGTTCCCCAAATTAATACTTTTATAATTTCTTATGCCTGTCTTTACTGAAATCTCTGAACATAAATTGTGAAGATTTCATGGACATTTTATCACTTCCCCAGTCAATACTCTTGTGATTTCCTATGCCTGTCTTTAATCTCTTAATCCCGTCATCTTCGTAAGCTGAGGATGTATGTCGCCTCAGGACCCTGTGATGATTGTGTTAACTGCACAAATTGTTTAAACAATATGAAATCTGGGCACCTTGAAAAAAGAACAGGATAACAGCGATGTTCAGGGAACAAGGGAGATAACCATTAGGTCTGGCTGCCTGAGAGCCAGGCAGAACAGAGCCATATTTCTCTTCTTTCAAAAGCGAATAGGAGAAATATCGCTGAATTCCTTTTCTCAGCAAGGAACAGCCCTGAGAAAGAGAATGCGTTCCTAGTGGGAGGTCTCTGAAATGGCCACTCTGGGAATGTCTGTCTTTTACGGTTGGAGATAAGGGATGAAATAAGCCCCAGTCTCCCGTAGCACTCCCAGGCTTATTAGGACGAGGAAATTCCCACCTAATAAATTTTGGTCAGACTGGTTGTCTGCTCTCAAACCCTGTCTCCTGATAAGATGTTATCAATGACAATGCGTGCCCAGTGGGACATGATACTTCATTAGCATTTTTAATTTCACCTGGGTCCTGTGATCTCGCCCTGCCTCCATTTGCCTTGTGATATTTTATTACCTTGTGAAGCATGTCATCTCTGTGACCCACACCCTATTCATACACTCCCTCCCCTTCTGAAGATCACTAATAAAAACTTGCTGGTTTTGCAGCTTGCGGGGCATCACGGAACCTGCTGACGTGATGTCTCCCCTGGATACCCAGCTTTAAAATTTCTCTCTTTTGTACTCTTTCCCTTTATTTCTCAGACCAGCTGACACTTAGGGAAATACAAAAGAACCTATGTGAAATAACGTTGAATTATCGGGGGTAGGTTCCCCTGATACTAGATACAGATGGTAAATGGTGATGACTATCTTTACTGGCATACTGAGAGTTAAGGGCCTAGAATTTGCTAAATTTATAGAACACAGAACAAAGGTTATGGTTAACTGCCTATGCAGACATCAAATAAACACCCAACAAGTTTTTCTTTGATAAACTGAAATTTAAAAAATTACTTTATTCTTTCCTTTTTTAAATTTTATTATTATTATACTTTAAGTTTTAGGGTACATGTGCACAATGTGCAGGTTAGTTACATATGTATACATGTGCCATGCTGGTGTGCTGCACCCATTAACTCGTCATTTAGCATTAGGTATATCTCCTAATGCTATCCCTGCCCCCCTCCCCCCGACCCCACAACAGGCCCCAGAGTGTGATGTTCCCCTTCCTGTGTCCATGTGTTCTCATTGTTCAATTCCAACCTATAAGTGAGAACATCTGGTGTTTGGTTTTTTGCTTTTATCATCTTCTATTTTATTAGATTTGAGATGGCCATGATAGCTTATTTGAGAAGACTGCCCTTCCATGATGAGGTAGTTACAGTAAAATACTTAAAGGGATTAGGTTATTAAACTCTCATATTTCTATGCATAAATAGCTCTTTGTAATATGCCATAAAATAAGTTTTAAGTCTACAAAAGAAATCAGAAAAAGTTACAATCTTAGTTTCAAGCATATATATAGAGATAGGGGAATACCATTAAGACTCTAGATTATATCCTAGAATGATTTATGAGTAATCCTAAATCACAAGCTTCCAACATGTTTTAAAGAAAGGTTGAAATTGTAATACAAAGAAAATTCAAAGGCTTCAGAGACTTATAAACTCTAACTTCAGGTTCATTTCCAAAATGAAGACTTCAGTGTTTTAAAACTTATGTCTTGAGTTTACTAAAGTATTCGGAGGATACAGTCATGCATTGCTTAACAATGGGGCAACATTCTGAGAAACACATCACTAAGCGATTTACTTCACTGTATGAACATTATAGAGTTTACAGTACTTACACAAACCTAGATAGTATAGCCTACTACACACCCAGGCTGTATTGTATATCCTATTGCTCCTAGGCTACAAATCTATACAGCCTGTTACTATACTGAATATTGTATGCAATTGTAACACAGATAGGAATTCTTCAGCTCCATTATAATCTTATGGTACCACTGCCGTGTATGTGGTCTGCCGTTATGGGATGCATGACTCTAATTACAAAACAGAAGAACTGAGGAAAATGATGCAAAAGAATGAAAGAAAATGTTAATTTACTAATGTCTGGTAGGCAAAAGATAACTAGATACAGTATTGAAGAGGAGTGCTACAGTTCTGAAATTCTGAGCCAATTTTATTTGAAACTTGTCTCTAATAACCTAAAACACCACATTTACTCAAAAGGCCTGTGATGACCTAGAAGATCCATTTAAGTTTAAGATTGCATAACTCTCTTAAATATTAAGCACCTGTTGTGTGTTGAACATGTGTACTAGGCACTTTCAGAGATCGAGAAACATATAATTTTAACATGCTGCCATTTATGACAGAACTATTCCCTAAAGTCTAAAAAGGCTTAGGAAATATGAGCCAGACACAAAATTTCAGTTCACAAAAAATGCAAGTGAAAACATCTGTGAGGAAATAGTCTCCTGAAGGTCTAAAATTACCAATGGGAAAGAGAAAATTTCAAAGAGCCAGAGGAAAAATCATTTAACTAGATCAAATTTTAATAACTTAGATACGGGAAAAAAAATGAGTTTTGTTTCTTTGTCAGTGCCATTTCAACACACCAGGTAGAGACCTGGTGGTGAGGAAAATGAGGCAAAGAGAATGAAGTAATCATCAAGATCTTGGAGTCCAGAAGTGGCAATGTTGGGATTCGAAATCAGGTCTCTGAACTACAAATCCTATGAGCGTTCCACATCAAGATTAGGTGCCCAAGCTAAACCAGCTCCCGAAATTCCTCCATTCAAACCACTAACCCCACAGAAGCAAACCAAACTTAAATAAATACCTATTTAATTTACATACAACTACATGACACAATTGATAGTATAAAATCATATAGCCAGCATACATTGTATTGATGATCTGGGAAAGTGAACAGAGCACAACCACCTCAATCTCTCTGCCAGCTACAAAAGCCTCCTCTCCTTCCCTAACCTTTCCTTTCAACCTTTAGTGAAGACCATTCTCTACTCTATACCACACAGGTCTGATGCTGGCAGGAACTCTAGTGTGCAAAGGGGACACAGTGTGTCTGGAACACAGACTGCTGATGGGGGCAGTCCAGTAACAAATGGCAGGCTTGCAATGGCACAGGAGGGGTAGGGCAGAGGCCATGGTGGCTACCAGAGGGGCAAGGGCCCCAGTGGAGGAGGCAGGGGGAACTGAAGGCAAACAGGGGTTCCCAAAGAAAGAGAACCTTCAATGGGTTTGCAGGAAAATGGCCCGTTAAAATATCAGCAACGGAACCGACTGTAGCTTTCTCAGGCAGAACAACCTCATTTCTGGTGGCAATTCTGTAAATTGTAGATCTAGGTCCCTTGGGAGTGTATTCTGGGCTAGGGTGAAAGGGGACAGGAGTGGAAATGATCACTTTTAAGTTGAATTTAGTTGGTAAGTGATTTTTCTAAACAGTAACAGTGAATTCTTTGAAAAGTATATAGGCTACAGGTTGCTAAACTTGTCTTTGCTGCTTTTCTTACCATAATAAAAATAACTTACATTTACTGAATGCTTACTATGTACTGTTGTTTAAAATTATTAGCTTATTTATATCTTTACAACACATACAACACGCTCACACAACCTGTGAGTACCATTTTATTATTTCTATTTTTTAAAAAATTGAGGAATAGAGAACTTAGGTAATTTGTCCAAGGTGACATCAAAGCTGGGTTCATAACCACTACACTGTGTCCTCCTACCTCCAAAAGTACTACTTTTAACCTGATACTTAAAGTTCTAGAATAATATGGATAATAAGAGTAAATAGGCTGCGAATAATAGTCTACAAGTTCTCTTATGACTAAAATGCATGATAGTTGGTAGTTCATAGACTTTTGACATTTTTTGGCTGCTAAAGACCTTTGTGGCATGTTTCTTAGGCTGTCATTTGGG
Organism: Homo sapiens; assembly: GCF_000001405.40. Lineage (NCBI taxonomy): Eukaryota > Metazoa > Chordata > Mammalia > Primates > Hominidae > Homo > Homo sapiens. The sequence goes on from NC_000001.11 coordinate 243,219,129, forward strand.
TAACAGTATATTTATCATTTATGTAATGCTTTAAAGTTCTATACTAAGCGCACACTCAAATGTACTGTTACATTTAATCCTCATAACAATACTACAGAGCAGGAATTATTTCATCATTTAATAGCTGAAGCAAGATTCTGCATTGCATCTTTGCTTTCATAAACTTCAACTCATTACATGTTTACACACTTTGGAAGGTAGTATATATGAGGAAACTGAATTTCAGAGAGATTAAGTGATTTGTCCCAGGTTACACTGCTGATAAATAACAGATCTGAGTTTCAAATCCTGGTCCTGATTTCAAGCTTAAAATGCAGATGTCGCTCTCCATGAGTTAGTATCTTTCACAATATTATTGAGTATAATCAAATTATAAGAAAGGCCAACCTAGAAAAATGTCATGTTTCACCTGATTATTTTTGGAACCAATACCAAGTAATTTCCATATTTGAGCATAGGCTTTTAAAAGACTAAAATGCTGATGTAATTCCCGCTGCTTATTTTCCAAAATAACAATGTAAAGACATACAGACTACCACTGTTCATCTGTTGTCAAGATGAAACTTTCTAGACTTAAAGACAATATAACATTGTCAAAATGTTCCACATATAGAAGTTAAAATTTTTCACTATAAATTCTTCAAGTAGAAAATTAATTCAATTCCACTAAAGAAAGATTTACTGGGTTCATGCACTGTGCAGAGCCCTCTGCTAGGCACTGTGGTCACAGAAGCAGAAGGCACATGAACTTATTCAGGAGCTCATAAGTCAGCATAGCTACAGAGGTATAAAAGTAGATTTAATACCAGGCTGATCAAGGACACAAAGGCTTATGTGTGGAGAAGGAAGAGAGAAATTCTAGCAAAGAGGAGTTGAGAATCAAAATTGCTAACATTCATGCCTAATGTTACAACAGTTTCTACCTACTTTGCCTATCTCTGCTAATTTTAATCCTTTCAACATGTCAACATCAGCAGGTTAAAATTCCTAAGTAAACGGGCCTTTGTTTCATCTCTTCAAAAAGAAGTAGAATTTGAGCTTTATTTTAAAAAATGTGTAAAACTTTTATAAATGGCAAGGCAGATGGGAGAAAGAGTAGACTGAAGAAAATCTAACAAATTATTTGAAGAAAGACATAGCATAGCAGGAAGACTACTGTTTGGAAGAAGAGCAAGGGAAAATGTAATGATGGAGCATCAATCTGGAAAGGTGGATAATGCTAAATGTGAGAGTTTTCAGGGCAAACATGAAGAACATACACTTAATTCTACATGCTTTGAGAAAAAAAAATGCTTGAATAAAACCAACAGAGAAAAAAAAAGGCTTGAATAAAACCAACAGGAAAACATGCCTACAAAAAATTTGTATTTATCTCAAAGAATAAATATAAAAGTCCTTCAGTAGCAGGCCAATTCAGAATTGGTTAAAAAAAATGTATTACCATATTTGCCAAATTTCTGCATGTTCTTGTACATAATGTTTGATGTACATTTGAAAAGCATGAATAGTCTGAAGCAGTTGGGATGCACTTATTTCTGTTAAATTCATTTTAAGAATTTCAGCAGCACAGATAGGAACAACACAGTATTTGCTTGTGTTAGCAGAACCATAAGCAAATGAAGAAACTGAAATAAAAGAAATAATTCAATACTTCAGCACTCTTTTTAGTTTGTAGCTACTTATATTATGCCAAATGTAGACAGACCAAATGAAGAAATAAGAAAAAATTCACTTCAGTAACACAAAAATATATTCAAAGTATGAATTCCAAGAATAATGAACAATGGCGGTTAGATAATGTGCTATATTTGTGAAGGCAAATGGTTGTGTTGTTTCACCTTTTTTACCCTAGCAGAGAAAGTTGTCTACTCTCTGGCACCTTTCCATCTTTCTTTTCTTTTCTTTTTTTTGAGACGCAGTCTTGCTTGTTCTGTCGCCCAGGCTGGAGTGCAGTGGCGCTGTCTCGGCTCACAACAAGCTCCGCCTCCCGGGTTCACGCCATTCTCCTGCCTCAGACTACCGAGTAGCTGGGACTACAGGAGCCCGCCACCACACCCGGCTAATTTTTTGCATGTTTAGTAGAGAGGGGGTTCACCGTGTTAGCCAGGATGGTCTGGATCTCCTGACCTCGTGATCCGCCCGCCTCGGCCTCCCAAAGGGCTGGGATGACAGGCGTGAGCCACCGCGCCCGGCCCCAGCTCCATCTTTATTTTCTAAACTTAACCATTACTTCTCTGTCCCTGAGAGTACTTTTTTGCATTCTCACTGCCATGACTTTTTACCGTTTTCCCTCATATAAATTACAGCCATATAGTGAAGTCAAGCTTAGGTTCCAACTCCTTAAAGAAGTCTTCTTTAGCCATCACAGACAATGACAACCACCTTCTGGATTCATCTGCTTATAGTTTCTTTGGAATATGGGCTAGTTTCATATTCTATTGGATGGTCCCCAAAGTGCTATGTACCTGATAAGCATTTGAAAATAACATACAAAGTAAAGAAAAAGAAAATGTAGCTAGGAAATGTAATCTGATTTTTATTCTTACAATATTAAACAAATGTTCAAACAAGACAAAAAATAAACCATTGACTTACCCCATTGAGGCTGCCCAAATCCTTCACTAAATGCTCATCCGTAGACGCATCATAGTTGATGACAGCGTGTTGCTTATCCACACTACGAGACTGAAAGGAATGTTGTCAGTTAATAAATATAAGAAAATACTAGAATAAATACCAGTCACATTTTGGCTAGATACCTAATATTAATAGGACAGTAAATATAGGGAAATATCAAAGTAAGTGTGGATTAAATGAGATTAAAACGGTGCCACTATACAACAAAATCTTTTTAGCATCACTGCCCAAAGAGGAAAACATAAAATTTTAAAGATATTCTTTTCTACTAAATTCACATGTTCTATTAAGAATTTACATCAGCTGACTTCGCTGAATGTATTAACTTAATTTTTTTAAATTTAAAACTGTTATAGAGAAATCATGTGAATTATAATTTTACCATGTTTTACATATCTTATTGTAAAAAACATTTACCTTGTAGGATTTTCTTCTTTCAAAACAAAAAATGAGCATAAACTATTCAAAGAGTCCAAAGATTTAGAGGAAAAGGGACACAATATGACATGTTTCAGAACAAAATTATCTTCATTTAAAATATGGGCTCTAAAACTGGAATTCACGGGACAGCTCTAAGAGGGAAAGGGACTGAAAGTCAAAAGAAAGGTATTTTAATGGCAAACTGTGGTTTTTGAAAATTGCTTTTAAGTTTCTTTTAAAGTTTTCTCTCTCTCTGTCTCTCTCCAGAGCTTAGTAAGTTGTCTGCAGATGGAAGCACCCAAAAGCAGAACGATAAGCCTGTGGAAATTGGTATTGAAAGGAAATATCATTATAGTCACAGAAGAAACAGTCTGTGAACCAGTGAATCTGAACTTGATCACCATGTATTACGGGGTTACTGTGTGAACCCTGGTATACTAAAAGCAAAGAGAGTATCAAAAATGGGGAACAGACATGACTTCCAATTTTTGGTCCAACATGGAAAGAATCTGAAGTCATCGCTCCCATCTTCATAATAAGAAAAATGTTGAACAAACTGAAAACCAAAAACTCATCTTAGTTTTTCAGAGACCTGAGGTCACAAGGCAAATTACCACCCTGAAAAGTAGAGAGACAAGCAAATACAGAGAGAATCACAGCTTGCCAGGAGCAGAAGCCTCCGCTAGAAACAGCAACCAGTAGGACAACTTAAAGGTGAAGTGATTAATTGCTAGAGACTTGAGGGTGGACCAACTTGAGATTTAAAAAAACTCCTGCATTAAATCTAAAAATTGCTTAAAATTCATTTTTGTTTTCATTACTTTGAATTTTTATTCATCTGGTTAAACTAATGAAATACTAAATTCAGTTCTTAAGTTGGCAAGAAGCAACAACGCACCACTCAGCAAAATAATTTCACCATATTGTTGATGTATCAAGTTGATCTAGTCTAAGGATAAAACCTCCAAATGTTGTTAAGAGAAGTGAGATTTCAAGTACATGTAGGCTCTCAATAAATACTGAATGGATCCTCATAAATAATCTCTCTCTGAGGAAAAGAGTACATAGGAAAAGGGCAGAAATCCTTTGGACAATGGACTGAAATTCAAAGAAAAAAATCTAAATTAGAGTTGAGAAAAGGCAAATTCCAAAGCAAAGTGAAATGTTACCATTAGATATAGGACTAAAGGAGTCAAATGGCTACTCATGGAGCCAGAGAATGGTGGCTTTCGAAGGAGTGTGATAAACACAGATGAGGGATATTGAGAAAAAGTGATTTGGGGAGGAAGTAATTTAGGACAGGCTGCTTCACTAAGTGAACAACTTGTTTGAAATCTGGAATATCCTTAATCTACAATGTACCCCGCCCTCCAACTGCTTATGGTGAACACTGACGGTACATAAACACCTACAGCAAAAGACAGAGCACACTTAAGACCTAAGAGAACAACAGAGTCCACTGAGTCGAGTGAGATGCCATTACAACTCTGGGGATTAGGGAGTGAGGAGTGGGCCTGTTATGTGGGATCACAAGAATACATCGTTTGTTTGTTTAATAAAGACAGTAACAATTCAAGAAGAGTAGTCAGGAACTCAAGGCAAAGAAGATCAGTTTAGTACTCACAGAATAAGACAATCCCATTTGTGTAACTATTTTTTTAAAAAAGCAGCCAATGAAAAAAAAATTCCTATGTTTTTAGTTATTATGAAATGTATATAAAGTATCAATGTGTTTCAGCACCCATGACAGGAATTAAGCAGAAGACCAAGATTACAGAACATAATACATCTAGTGACCGAGTCAAGGAAAACTGAGGGAATAGGAAGAATATGTAATGGATATCTAACCACTTAAGCATTAAACTGTTTTCATTTCTATATAATCAAATTCACATTTCCTCTAGATTAAACTGAACCAGAAGGTGCATGACAACTTGATATTCACAACCCATTTGGATATTTCAATGAAAATTTAATAAAAATCTCTCAGAAATACATAATTTAAATCCTAACAAAGACTGCTAACTTAATCACGTTTCTGATACTAATGGGAAAACCTTAGCTGATCTGAGCTTAAAACTGCAAAGATAGGCAATTTTGACCAGGCCCTTTTTTTCCTGTTACTTAAACTTCTGGTAAGAATGAAAGACTCCAGTCCCTGTCCTTTTATAGCAAGGGTGTCCAATCTTTCGGCTTCCCCGGGCCACACTGGAAGAAGAATTGTCTTGGGTCACACATAAAATACACTAACAACAGCTGATGAACTAAAAAAAAAAAAAATTGCAAAAAAAACACCTCATGATATTTTAAGCAAGTTTATGAATTTGTGCTGGGCCGCATTCAAAGCCGTCCTGGGCCTCAGGTTGGATGAACTTGTTTTATAGTGTTTTCCCTGTAAGAATCTATGCCTCCTCCATCTGATTCTTACCCCTATAGAGACCCTCTTCCTGAGGCTGTGCACTCTTGAGGATCCATTTTACTTGGAGTAACTTACAGTAACTTTTATACTATCTGTGTGTATCACATAACATCACGTTGTATACCTTAAATATACACAATAAAATTTACTTTTAAAAATTGTCAACAATCTTCACTTATGCTTGAACTCCTGGCAGGTATCATAATGAACATCTCTAAAAGTGATGAAACTAACTTCCATTATCACTGAAGTATCAGTGATCAAAATTCAGTTTTACTCCATGCTATGCTGATTTTTGCAATGTCTTATTTTAAAAGCATATAATGTGAAACTTTCTGCTTACTAATAAACTTCTTTATTCTGAGAATTTATTTTTCTAAATTGAATCTTCAAGACTTAGAACTTTTTTTAGATGATTCAAGGGGGCAAAAAATTAATTAGAATGATAGCTGGAGCTAAAAGGAGAGAAAGTTCAAATCTAAATAGCACTGTTTTCTAAAGGAGTAGAAAAAGATTTTACACTAATTTCAAGTTTTGAATAAACACATATAGAGAAGCTTGACACAATTACCTGCAACATGAGCTCACAGTCATCTCTTCCAACAAAAATCATTTCTCGTGGCAGCCTGTGGCGAGTGCCTCCACTGCTCACCAAAAACCAGGATGTTAAGCTCATTTTCTGCTTAGCTTCTAAGTCTTTGGCAAAGCTACGTCATCCTGAAGAGAAACATGAAGAAAAATATACGTTCAGATATTTTTAGCTTTAGTGGCTATTCACCAAACACTGGAAGGCCTAAGAATAGAACTGCGTTCATCAACATTTATACTTAATTAAATGAACTGTCCACAGGTCCCAGGAAATGACATATATACTAAATTCTCATCAGTGAAGTAAGCCCACGGAATCCACTAAGAGTCCAGTTAAAAAGGAAGAGACTAAGGCAGTAAGTGGGTGCTCAACTAGCAAACTTTTATAGTTTTCATACTTCTGAAAGCCTTTTAGCACAGTTTATAAAGGTCTATAATCCTCAAGTAAATGCTCATGTTAGCATCATGTTAGTATTAGAAAAATAGCAATACTGTACCAATAAATGTCTTAGGTACAAATGGTTTGAGAAAGACACAATGAATTCAGTAAGTATATATGATACCTGATTAAGAACTATGTTGACCAAATAAATTGCTCTTTTGTCTATCAGGTGTAAACCACAGAATGCAATTTCAATTTCTTTTTCCTCACATGTACTTTATTGTCTTAATACGTTTTCCTAGAACAGCAATTCTGAAACATTCTGTTCTTGGGACCCTTTTATACTCTTTAAAAAATGAACTCCAAAGAGCATTTGTTTACATGGGCAATACATATCTATCTATCTATCTATATATATACACGTATATATATCTAGATATATATACACACGTATATATATCTATCTCTAGATATATATATCTAGATATATATATCTATATCTAGATATAAATATATCTATATATATACACGTATATATATGTATATACGTGTGTATATATGTGTATATATATGTACATGTCTATCTCTCTATAGATATATATATATCTAGATATATATATCTAGATATATATATATCTATAGAGAGATAGACATGTACATATATATACACATATATGTATGTATATATATAGTTTACATATTAAAATGAAACTGGTATTTATTAAGATAACATTAACCCAATTTCATTTAAAAATTACTAACATTTCTATAACAAAGTAACCATATTTTCCAAAACAAAAATAAGTGAGAAGAGTAGCACTATTTTACATTTTGCAAATCTCTTTAATGTCTACCTTAAAAAAATAAAACTGGTATCAGCTTTGAATTTAATCCATTGCCATATACTGCTTAACTTGAACTATATAAAGAAAACCTGGCTTCATACACATAAACAGGTGGAAAAGGGAGAGGTAATTTAATAGGCTTTTCAAATAATTGTAATTATTTTGTAATTTCTTTGATACTACATAAAAATTATATAAGCAGTAATTTCTTGAAGGTTTTTTGCAATATGGAATCTGAAACCATATTAATGAACTTTTCACACAATGTTATAGGAAAATCCATCTTATGGCTAGGCACAGTGGCTCACGCCGGTAATCCCAGCACTTTGGGAGGCCGAGGCGGGCAGATCACCTGAGGTCAGGAGCTCAAGACCAGTCTGACCAACACGGAGAAACCCCGACTCTACTAAAAATACAAAATTAGCTGGGCATGGTGGTGTGCACCTGTAATCCCAGCTACTCGGGAGGGTGAGGCACGGGAATCACTTGAACCCGGGAGGCAGAAGTTGCAGTTAGCTGAGATCACGCCACTGCACTTCATCCTGGGCAACAGGAGTGAAACTCCGTCTCAAAAAAACAAAAAAAGAAAATCCATCTTATATTTTGATGGGATTTTGTAACACCACGTATTGGTCCTTGGGAAAATATTGATTTCCTGAGTAATGAAGATCTTCCAAATGTTGACGTGTTTCATTATACTATTTTAAAACATCACACTCGTTAATATTACCACCTATCTTACCATAAAAGTCTTTTAAGTACAGGGAAGCTGTTAAGCTCATGATGGCAGAATCAAGTTTTCTAAAATTCTAACTTCCTCTTGACAGCTCAAATATTATCATTGGTCAAAAAAAAAAAATCCTGTCACTTAAATTCCTTGAAGTGACAAGCTCACGTTGTCTGTCAAACACCCAAGTGTATATAACCAAAATGTGTCTCTCAGTCATTTGTTTAAAGTAAAGTGGTATTTTATTAAATCAAGAGTCTAGTTCTGCAGACAACTCACATAAGGACACAATTTCTCCTTCAGAAAACCACAGCACTTTGGTATACAGCATAAGTGCTCTATGCATACTTCTATTTAGTCACATAGAATATTCAAAAGATGTGATTCAAGGGTCAGATTTAATACAATTAATAACTTTTACCATTTCATCGAGAACATTCTTAAGTGAAACTGGCTTAAAAAACAAACAAACAAACTCAGGAGTATACAGCAATGATGAATACAATTACTCCTTGGAGAATTTGGTGCCACTACTTTGATCTATGCTAAAGAGCCAAAAACTTCCATTGTTTTTGTAATGTCAGGGCAAATGTCAATACAATAAAAAAGGCAAATAATGCTTTGATGTCATTACGAAAAAGGTTTTGACCCTGTGGACCCTTGTAAGGTTTACCGAAGGCCTTTGGACTGAGAGCTTTGAGAATAGTTATCCTAGAGAATGGGGCTTGGTCATTAAGGGAATAAGCCCTGGAGTCATATAGACAGATGTGAGTCTGAATCCTGGTTCCACCACTTTTTATTCTGCATGACCTTAGGCTAGCTATTTATCCCATGTCCCTTAGTTTCTTCTTCAGTAAAATAAGAATAATGTCAGTTTGCACTCAAGTTCTTTCTTATGAATCAAAAGAATAATACTTGTAAATATTTTCCCATTCAACTGTATATTCTACTACACTTGAATTAGAGGCAAACTATACTACAGTAAAATGAAATATTCTGCAATAAGAAATATATCTCTATATATTAAACCAAAATCCTGTAAAATGCAGAACTTTATGTTAAGGTAAAATCTTGAATATCATATGTTATCTATACACACATGAAAAAACAATGGGTTTCATCAAAGCAAGTAAATAATTTTCTGTAAAGCTACAACAATCAACTCGTACTCCCTCCTCAGCTTATTTGATATAGTTGATTTATGTGGATTATTAAATCTCCCATTTACTCAACTTCTTAATGCAGATGTTGTTGGTCTTCCATCTGTCTACTTTGTCAATTTGGTTTTTAGCATTTCTTTCCCTGGTTCAGAATATATACTTCCTGGCCAAGTCTATAAAGGTGAATCCAAATTTTACTGGAGAAAAAAGCCCTCCGATCTAAATATAGTATATAATTTGCATACTGTATTTTCAGGGGACGATTTTAAAACACAACATGAATAAACAGGTCAACAGTTACACGTTTACTCAAGGGAACTGAAACAAAACCCAATATTAAGACATGTTAAAAGAAAATAAATCCAGCCTACATACAGTAAACTAAAACATGACAGCCAAATACGGATAACAGAAACAGTTTCTTAATATAGCAAAGTCCCAGAGTTAATAAGCATTATTCATATGCTCTAATATGTACAATATAAACATACAATAATTATACAGTTGGATAAAATAAAATAAAAACAATGGCTTTTTACATATTTCATCTTGACTTTAATAAGACTTAAAAGAATACATAGTTTCTGAAAAATACAAACAAAACACATTAATACTCAAGATGTGGAATATTTATTTCTTGAGCTGGGGAATGACCCTGAGTCCACTTACAGCTTCTCTGCTGAGTGGGAATGTGATATAACAGGAAGCTACTGTCTGTTTTTATATGAGACTTTCTCCCTGTCAGACAGCTTTCCGACTGGTCCCTCAGTATTAAGACACTCTTTTTCTACTAATTGGATATTACTAACACCCACACATGGATAAAACTAAAACCTGATTGGTGGTTTCTTCAGTAGCCAAGGCACGTGACTCAACTCAGGTTCCGCTAAATGGTGGGAAAGGAGCCTGTGGGTTTGCAACTTGTACAGAACACAACCAAGGTCTTAACCAGATGTGATAGCAGGTATATTTCTTTCCAGAATTTCTGGATTAGTCAAATAGACATGGGTTTTTGAATAGGCTTTCTGAATTAAATTACCAGTCCCTCATGCTTTCTAAATGACTGCAAAAATATATACATTACGTTTCGGCATTTCAGGTATCCTGCTTGTAAGGAGGGAAAAAAAAGGCCAAGAAGATAGCATCTAAAGATGCAATTGACAGAAATGATCTGAAGTGACTATTTTGGAACTCTGGCGTATGGTAAAAGAGGGTGACAAATGTCATGGAATTGCCATCTTTCATGGTAGCAGCTATCACTCATTCCACAGCCACAATCCCAACAGCTCCAAGAAGCAGCCTGGAGACAGCCTCCTGCATTCCTAGTGTGGCTTCCTGGAGCCAGGGTACACAAAAAGGAACTAGTCTTCCAAATACTGGATTGCATGATCTCATTGTTGCTTTTGATTACTGAGAAACCAATACAAAAGCTGGCCACCTACTTCAATACCCACGGACCTAAGAAACTTCCAAGGAATTTATTATATAAAGACAATGTGTGTGTGTTTGTTTTTCTTTCTCCTTTTTGAGGCCAGATATTGAAAGCAATCTTTATCAGGTCAATAGCTGACCACAGAGGAAACAGAAGAAACTTCAGTGACCACATTATAACAAAAACTACACACCTTGCAAAAACAGTTTACAAAAGTCACAAACAGATCATCACTTTAACCCTCAACAAGTAAGATTCAGCAATCCCTGGAGAGTGGAAGGATTACATTTCCAGATCTACCACAACATAATGTTTAAAAGGTCTAGTTCTCACCGGGCATGGTAGCCCACATATGTAATCTCTCCACTTTGGGAGGTGGAGGCAGGAGGATTCCTTGAGCCCAGGAATTCAAGACCAGCCTGGGCAACATAATGAGACCTCATATCTATGAAAAATAAAAAAAAAAATAGCTGGGCATGGTGGCATCCAGGAGGTTGAAGCTGCAGTGAGCCATGATCATGCCCTGCACGTCAGTCTGGGCAACAGAGTGAAACACTGCCTCAAAACAAATGAATAAATAAAAATAAGATACAAAATACAGTTCTCAAAAACCAAAAAATAACATAATGAAAATAAAGAAACAACAAAAAAGATTTGACAGAAACTCTCCCGTTAAAGCCCATTGTAGTTATTAGTTGAAGGTGTTAAATCAACTATCTACTGTCTTAAATATGTTGAATGAGCTAAAGAAAACCATCAACAAAAAAATTAGCAAAACAGTGTATGAAAAAAATGAGAATATCAGTAGGAAGACAGAAATTATGAAACGGAACCAAACATATTCTGGAGCTAAAAAGCAGACTAACTGAAGTAAGAAAAACTCAATAGAGGGGCTCAAAAGCAGATATGAGGAGGAGTTAGAAAGGTTCAGTGAACCTGAAGATAAGAACAGTGAGGCTGTCTTATCTTCAATATGAGAAGCAGAAAAACAAATGAAGTAAAATGAACAGAGCCTGAGGCACCAGTAGGATATCATCAAACATACTAATATACACATATAGGTGTCCCAGAAGGAAATATGACAGAAAAGTATTTGAAGTCTTAATGGAAAAATACTTCCAAAATACATCAATACACACATCCTAGAAGCTCAATAAACTACCAGCAGATAAACTCAAAGAGCTCCACACAAGAAACATTACAGTCAAATTGTCAGAACCTAAAGAAATAGAAAGAATTTTGAAAACAGTGACAGAAGTGACTCTTCATGTACAATGGAGCCTCAGTAAGATAAACAGCAGATTTCTTCTCAGAAACTATGGAGACTAGAAAGCAGTGGGATAGCAGTGGGAAAGGAGAAGAAAAAAAAAAACTGTCAATCAAGAATTTTATACCCAGCAAAACTATCTTTCAAGCATCATCATCATCATCATCATCATCATCATCATCATCATTATTATTATTATTATCATCATTATTATTTTTTTTAAGCAAGCAGAAATTAAGATATTTCTAGTTAAACAATAGCTGACACAGTTTTTTTTTTTGTCAGTACAGTGCCCTACAAAAAATGTGAAAGACATTTGGGCTGCAATGAAAGGACACTAGACAGTAACTTAAAACTGTGAAAAAAATTTTTAAAACCACTGATAAAGGTATCTATAAAGCTAAATATAAATCCACTGTTTTCATACTTTTCATATGGTTTGTAACTTCTGTTTTTCCCATATGGTTTAATAAACAAGTTCATAAAGCAATAATTATAATATGTTACTGGAAAGTATAAAGGTGTAATTTGTGACAATTATAATATTACGGGGGAGGAATGGAGATGTGCACAAGCAAAGTATCTGTATACTCTTGAAACTAAATTGATATATTCAAACTAGGTTTATAAGTTTAAGATATTAATTGGAATCGCCAAGGTAACCACTAAGAAAATACATTAAAAATATACAGTGAAAGAAAGGGAAATCAAAATGATACACTACAAAAAAGTTCAATTTTTAAAAAGACAATAATAAAAGAATAAAAGAAAAAACACATACAGAAGACAAATACATCAATGACAGAATTAAAACCATCTTTATGCTGGGTGCGGTGGCTCATGCCTGTAATTCCAGCACTTCATTTAAAGTGATTAATAATACACCTAAAGCAAACCCCCAAATTCTTCCATTTTTCCACATCAGCAATCCTCACTGTCTTTTCTTCTTCTTCTTCTTCTTTTTTTTTCTTTTTGAGACAAGGTCTGGCTCTCTATTGCTCAGGCAGGAGTTCAGTGGCAAGATCTCAGCACACTGCAACCTCCACCTCCCAAGCTCAAGCTCCAGGCTCCCACCTCACCTTCTTGAGTAACGGGGACTACAGGTGTGCAGCACCACACCTGACTAATTTTTGTATTTTTTTAGAGATGGGGTTTTGCCATGTTTCCCAGGCTGGTCTTGAACTCATGAGTTCAAGCAATCCACCCGCTTCAGCCTCTCAAAGTGCTGAGATTACAGGTGTGAGCCCCCATGCCTGGCCTTCAGTGTCTCTTCTAATACTGTAGTACTTGTTCTTGAAAGCAGACTAGACATAATACAAAATTATATCAGTCTCTATCTTCTGTGCTTATCAATTTCAGCATTTAGGAAATCTCAAAGAGTATGAGAAAGTACAAAACTAACAGATTTGCTTTTTGGTAAGTTTATTCCCATTCCCCCAGGGCAGAGTTAGCCATACTTTTCTCTGTAGTCCCACAATATTTTGTTCAAACATTATGCTACAATTTAAAGTATCATTTTTAGTATTAATAATTCTATACTGTAACGATATGATTACACCTCAAGTTGATGAGCTCTTTGAAGGCAGCAAAACTGTCTTCCTCCATTCCTCCCTTCTTTCAACAGCTATTGAGAAGCCTGCGGAATCCAGACACTCTGAGGATCAAGGACACATAAAGATAAAACAAACAAAAATATCTTGCCTCAAGGAACTCACTACTGCAGGGAATGGTAGTAGATGCCATGACAGAGATAAACCTAGGGTGTTACTAGAACAACAGGAGGTTGTCATTACTCCAGACATGGATGGTGACGGTAGGGATGGTATCATTCTAAACCAGCACAGAGCTGAAATACAGAGACACTTTTTCATCTTTGTATCCCTTGAGCCTACCCCAATGTTTCATCTACAGTGAGCATTTGACAAGCTATTTTTCAATGAATGAGTAGCTTTGGAGCTGCTACAAGTCTTGAAGTGAGGATAACCTAGAAATTTCCAGGGGCAGGAGGTGAAATTAATCATCTAACCTTTGACAGCAATTCAATCTAGCCATTAAAAAATCCTAGTTATAGTCCTCTTCGGTTGTCTCTTTCTTATTCTTTATCTTTTTGTCACATAAAGCTGTTTTCACTAGCAATCTGAGAAAAGTTGAAAGCTCAGACACTTGGGTGTCAGATGGATGTGAACACTGGCCCAGCATCACAGTTCCATTTACATGGAACTATCATTACATTTACATTTAAAGCTATCATTAACTTTAAAAACTGACTTTCCTGCTAAATCAGAGTTCTTTTCATGATTTAATGGACTAAAATGTAAATATCTAAGTTTTACATTCTAAATAAACATGAAACAAAGAAAAACTCTGCAGCTATTGAGCAGAGCACACAGCTTCACTACACAGGTTTAAAATTACATACATTTTACTGCTTTTTAAAAATATTTCAGGCCAGGCGCGGTGGCTCACGCCTGTAATCCCAGCACTTTGGGAGGCCGAGGCGGGCAGATCACGAGGTCAGGAGATCAAGACCATCCTGGCTAACATGGTGAAACCCTGTCTCTATTAAAAATACAAAAAATTAGCCGATTGTGGTGGCAGGCGCCTGTAGTCCCAGCTAATTAGGAGGCTGAGGCAGGAGAATGGTGTGAACCCAGGAGGCGGAGCTTACAGTGAGCCAAGATCACGCCACTGTACTCCAGACTGGGCAACAGAGCAAGACTCCATCTCAAAAAAAAAATATATATATATATATATATATATATTTTAAAACGTTGTTCCTATTCACATATCATTCAAATCGAGGAATGATGGCAAGAGGGGTCTGAATGATGTTAATTACTATAATACTTAAGTTGAGACAGGCAATAATAAGTAAGTGCACTTGATATATGACAGTATAACAAGAGAACTACAAAATAGTGCACCATATCACCCATAAAAAGAAACTGGTTTACTCAGATTATTAAGCCTGAGAAAAAATCATTATTCTATAAATGATAGTCAGTGTATACAATTACTTGAGCTAAAACACATGTTAAGGGCAGTCTATCCTTATGGTCTGGCAATTGGCTGGCTGATTCATCACCAGATGGCTTTATAAAGATTAAACCTCCTCTCACCCCACAACTCCTGCTATTGCAGAGAAAGAAATAGCTGGCCTCACATTAGGACTATCGGTCTACACAGTAGAGAAAGAAATAGCTGGCCTCACATTAGGACTATCGTCTACACAGTAGGAAATGCTTTTCTCTAGCTTATGCATTTCTCATTTTAATAAGATATTATCTACTTAGGCATCCATGTGACAACTTTTCTTTTGGTACCAACAGGCATGAAAGGGTGACAATATTCTCCATGGGGTTGGCCCAGGACATAGCTTTGTTTCCTGAAAGAATAAATCGTAGGAGAAAGATGATCTGGTTTTCTTAATAAAATCAATGAAAATCTAAACAAAGGGGGGTTAAAAGTGATACACTTCACCTTACAAAATTGTAATCTGAACCAGCAGTAAAGCTTATCAACTGAAATAAACACACTAAGGCATTGCATCAACTGGCATCTGTAATTATGCCATGTCTTTTTACCCCATCATACCAAGTATCTAAAAGATACAATTTTAAACAAATGTATAAATTCAGGAATCCTATTTTACATTTTCACCCCTAAAAAGTCCCTAACAGAAAATATATCCTCAACACCAGAAGTCTGTCTTTTGATGCCACGTATTTCTGAAAATGAAGAAATAATTAGGGGTGGCATTTCAACTAAGGATTCATTATCAAATAAAGTCCAAACATACATCATAGTAACTCAGGATCAAGTAAAATGCAAATCATATATTATAAAAGCAAATGGTTTTATTCATAATTGGTAGCATTTATTGACTACTTAATATGAATCAGGCACTGTTCTAAGAATTTCACATATAGGTGTGTATATAGACATAATTGGTTTTAGCTACAAAAATTCTTCAAGTTCGAGAAAATGGACATAAACATTATATACTGTTACACATGAGGACCCCATTTTATAGAGTACTATAAAATAAAACCCAGTTTGTTTCTTCATTCACAAGTAGTAAGCACTATAAGATACTGGGGAAAGAGAATGGATCAAGATAGAAAAAGTTCCTAATCTCACAGCAGCAAAAATAAACAAATAGCTACATAAATGAATAAGAAAACCTCAGGGGCAGTGGGAAGAAAGAAACATGAAAAAACAAAGAGGACAGGATAACTCGGGTGGTGCTCTTCAGGCCGGGGTGGTCTACGGAAATATCTTTGAGAAACTGACATATGCTTAGAACATATTCAAAAATTCAGCTCTGCTGTATAATTAATTTGATCTGGCACACATAATGAAATATACTCTTGGAAAAAATTCATTTATTTAAAATCTCCACCCTTGTTTTATAGTTACTCCAAAAGGATAAATCCACAGCTGTGCTTTTTTTGGATACTTACCAAGATACTTGTTTCATGCTCATGTGAACAAACTCATTACTGGGAAAATTTCTGCTTTCATACACTCATGATTATTCTGGAATGACTACTCTAAATTTTACCTTTATCATCTGCCATATACATTATTAATTCTTTTGTGAAAGGCAATTAAAGCAAATAGGTTTAAAGAAAAAATATAAGCTGCAACTTAAATCTGATATAGCATTAAAACTAAAAAAAAAAAAAAATTCTCATAAAAATAAGTGAAGATGACATTCCAAATACCACACCACATATTCTATGTCTGAGTTTATTATATATTTTTAACAGAAGATTTAGATTTGATGGGAAAAGCTAGCAAGCCAGTGATTTAATTAAAGATTTCTTCATAAAAAACATTCAATAAAGTGCTTAAAGAAAATACCTAAGAAAAAACAAGTTATACTTTTCCATAAATTATCTAGGCATTAAAAATTCTTGCTAGGTTTTCCCTGTCAGTTTATGAAACACGTAAAGTCTGACTTGTTTGCTTTTGTAGAACTGTACTACCCTCATTAAAGCATAATTTTGTTGCTTTACACCAAAAAATCAATTGACTTAGATTCAGACATTTATCAAGTACCTCCTTTGTGCCAGTAACTGTGCTAATTGCTTCTATTAATACTTGCATTCTTTCATTTAACTCCCAAAACAAGCATTCAAGAAACATTTTTCCCTTAAGAAAACTAAAGTTAAAGCCTTATTCAAGGTTACAAATGCAGTATAAACAGGAACCACCTAGATTCAAATCTGGGCCTTCAGCTACCAAATATGGGGCTTTTCCCACAAATCACTATCTCCTTTGTATTTTTCTTAAATATACCTCGAAATGATGCAGGTGATTCTGCCAGTCTCGGATTTGGCTACAGTTGGAGTATGATGATATGCAATATATTTTAACTTAACAACGAGTTCTCTAACACTCTGTTTGGGCAATAAATGCTGACAGTTCATGTAAATTTCAGCCTATTTTCAATCTTCTCAGCCTCCTGTTTGGCCACCAGCAGGCTCCAAGATTCTCTCCTCGAGAAGTTCACAGACAAGAAAGAATCAATCAGTTATTAAAACCAAAAACCAAAAATCAGCTGGCCAAAAATCAGCGGATCAATCTAGAGAAACGAGGGAAATTTAGTAAACTGGGGTATAGCATGGATTAGAAACCTAGACTCTGAAAGAATAGTAAACTATCTCCAGGTTCACTAAATAACTATAAATCTAAAAAACTGTCAGATCATAGAGCACTAGGAGCAGGAAAAGCCACACAAAGCTGTCTGGAAGACCTGAAACTGTCTACAGGAGGGAGTGACAATGGGAGGAAAGCAGTCTGGGTTAAGGGTCTGTTACGATCCTGAAAGTCAAATGCTTTGATTCACTGTTCTTAGCTCACGCAGGACAACAATTTCTCTGCCATGTGTCTGCAATTAATTTTAGCATATCACTAATTCTTGTGCCCTTTAAAAATGGTTTCTGTTCATCTTCAATACCTTTTCTGATTCACTATACATTAACTATTTGGGAGGTGGGTACAAATCATTTCCATTGCATTATCAGTATAACATATGAAAAGTGAATTGAAACTTCAAAGTGTAGAAAACTGAAACGTCTCAGAGTCTATTTTAAGCAAGAATGTATTTAGTGAATATATCACTAACACACTTTACTGTATAACAGTAAGTTGCTAATTACTAGCCTAAATTATGCAGTTTTTCTTTTTATCTTCATGTTAAATTATAATTTTTATAAATATCTCTATACCAGCACTGTGCAACAGACTGTGATGATGGAAATATTCCTGTCCAATACATTAGCCACAAGCCATGTGTTAACTATTGAGCACTTGAAATACAGCTAATACAACTAAAAAGATGAATTTTAAATTTCATTTAATTTTAATTCATTTAAATTTACATATTCATATATGGCTAGTGGCACTCTAGCTAGTTCAGCTCTCAAACTAACAAATGACACTATTATTTACCTTAAGGATCGCTTTCGTTAAATACCTCATACTTATAGTATATAAACATGCAGAATAGCTGATAAAATAATGCATGCTGGAAAAGAAAATTTTAATCTAATCAAAAGAAAATAAAGTGCTTTGTATTTTAATTTAATTGAGATAGTATCACTATAGGCCAGGCATGGTGGCTCACGCCTGTAATCCCAGCACTTTGGGAGGCCGAGGAGGGTGGATCACCCTGAGGTCAGGAGTTCGAGACCAACCTGGCCAATATGGTGAAACCCCCGTCTCTACTAAAAATATAAAAAATTAGCTGGGCCTTGTGGCGGGTGCCTGTAATCCTAGCTACTGGGGGTGGTGAGGCAGGAGAATTGCTTGAGCCTGGCAGGTGGAGGTCGCAGTGGGCCAAGATCACACCACTGCACTCCAGCCTGGGCAACAGAACGAGACTCCATCTTAAAAAAGACAGCATCATTATGACTTTCATACAAAGTAGTAAATTATATAAACAATCGGGTCTATCTTTTGTCTAAAATTTTTAAATATTCATTGTATTGGCAAGACTGTTCTTTCATATACTGTAATTCTTAGGCTATGGATGTTTAAAGTGATTAGGTTTATCTTTACCAGAATGCCATGAGGTATGTAACAGTTCAATGGAATTGTTCTGTAGTTTGATTATTTCTGAGAAGGTGAAATACAAGAATTCTCTTAAGGGAGGGAATCGCTAGGCACAGCCAGCCTAAAGAACACTGAACACTGGGAGGCCGAGGTGGGACGATCACTTGAGCCGAGGAATTCAGGACCAACCTAGGCAACAAAGTGACACCCTGTCTCTACAAAAAAATAAAAAAAATAAATAAATTGCCAGGTGTGGTGACGTGCACCTGTGGTCCCAGCTACAAGGGAGGCTGAGATAGGAAGATCGCTTGGGCCCAGGAGGTCAAGGATGCAGTGAGCCAAGACTGTGCCATTGCACTCTAGCTGGGGCAACACAGTGAACTGCCCTGGAAAAAAAAAAAAGAATAGTGATATATTTCATTTAGAGAAGAGCTTCTGCAATTTTGAGGGTAAACAGAAGCTAACACAGATAAAAGATTATTGGTATTAATAGCCAACAAGTGGAAGTAACCCAAAACCTAATGGTAGATCATTTTTTAAAAGTATAATTTTCCTCATTATATTTGAATTTTCTTTTAGCAAATGTACTAGAGTGTATGGTATATATACATGTATTAAAGAAAAAATCAAATCATCTAATCAGAAAGTAATTTTATAACAGAACTCAGTCCACATATTAGTAGTAAATTTGAATTTCCAAAGTCAAAGTAATTTTTGGAATTTGAACTATGGTGCTAACGGTTCATGGTTGAAAATGTCCTCCTGTTAAATCTAATGATCTCTAGTATTGCTATCTTAAATTACCTCTCAATATCTTTGACCATTCTTGCCTTCTACAAGTATCAGTCTGCTTTCCTCTCACTTCTGTGGGCACGCCTCAATCTCTTTGAAAGTGTCTACTTTTTCTTTAAATTCTGTTTTTACGGGGTTACTTCCCTATACATAATCTCTTTGGGACTTCTTTGAAAACCCTGGGCTTCCAATATTGCTTATTATAATGTTACACATATAATTTCAAGTCAAAACCTTTTTTACAAGATCAGACCTTCCCTCTGCTTACGAGTCATTTCCAGTTCAAGGTCCTCCTGGACTCCTCAGATTTAATTTTTAAAAAACAGAAAGAACCCTTTCATCTAACGAAATGTGCCTTTTTTCCTGTTCTCCCCGTCTTAGCGAATGGCATCACCAACTGACCAGATATTTTCTCTCCCACTCCCGCTTTAGTTAGGTAAGTCATTATGTCCCTTTGATTCCACATCCTAAATATCTTTCTTTGTGCCTTTCCTCTTATCCCACTGGTTCTTACCAATAAATTACTGCAGAACTCTTTTACCTGAATCCCTTGTCTCTAGCCTCCCACTCTCCAAATCCTTCCTCTATCCAGCTATCAAAATTACATTTATAAAAGTAAATGTAATAATTTCACTCCCTAATTTTCAATAGCTCCCTATAGAGTTCAAGATAGAATTCAAACTCTTCAGTTTTGAGTAAAAAGCCCTGTTATCTCCCCATGTTACTCTGCTCCTCCCTTGTATTCCATGTCCAACTGAATTTGAAAATGAAAGCTCTATGCTGTCCCAAGACCTTTCATAGTGAGCTTTCTCCAGCAATCACTTCCCCCAGAAAAACACCCATAGAATTCCCAGCCTCTCAATTCTGACCACCTATCTTGCCCTTCACATATACCTACAGCAACTCCTAAACTTCTTTGTACAAAATATATTCATTTTTGTCTATTTTCCCTTATAAACTGAGTTGCTTGAGTAAAGTGGCTATTACTTAGTAATCCTGGTATCTCTTGTACCTTGTATGGATGCCTGAAACTTTAGTAAATGTTCAGCAAATATTAATAGGTAATAGTGGCACAATATAAACTTTTCTGGTGAAGTTTTATCAATAGGCCAATAGCCATACTAGAAATCTGACATAAAATTCACTGGGAATTTTCTGATTACTTGGTAATATGAATACAATCTGGCCGGGCTGTAATCCCAGCACTTCGGGAGGCTGAGGAGGGTGGATCACCTGAAGTCAGAAGTTTGAGACCAGTCTGGCCAACATGGTGAAACCCTGTTTCTACTACAAATACGAAATTAACTGGGCATGGTGGCACATGCCTGTAATCCCAGCTACTCAGGAGGCTGAGGTAGGAGAATTGCTTGAACCTGGGAGGTGGAGGTTGCAGTGAGCTGAGATCACGCCATTGCACTCCAGCCTGGGCAACAAGAAACTCTGTCTCAAAAAAAAGAATACAATCCATTTAATACAAAATAAATCAGACTAGAATTGCAATAAGCAATCCATATGATCCGTTCCAAGATTCATCTCCTCACTTTGAAAGTGAAGCCGTTCACCATCACGGTTAGACGTTCCACCTTATTTCCCTAGAAGACAACCCTTAGTTAAGGAGATCACCTTAAGCTAATGGCTCTTAGACCTGGAATCACTTGCGGAGATTTTTACACACAGGAACACTTCTATGTGTGTATGTATTTATCAATATGTCTAGGCTTCATACCTGAAGACTTGAACTTATAATGTAACTGGTAAGGTATGGGTATCTGTATTTTTTTTTTTTTTTTGAAATTCTGCAGATTTCACTGTGCACAGATTAAGATGCACTTATTTATTCATTTATTTTTGAGACAGAGTTTTTGCTCTGTTGCCCAGACTGGAGTGCAATGGCACGATCTCAGCTCACTGCTACCTCTGCCTACTGGGTTCAAGTGATTCTCCTGCCTCAGCCTCCCAAGTAGCTGGGATTACAGGTGCCTGCCACCATGCTTGGCTAATTTTTGTATTTTTAGTAGAGATGAGGTTTCACCATGTTGGCCAGGCTGGTCTTGAACTCTTAACCTCAGATGATCCTCCCGCTTCGTCCTTCCAAAGTGCTAGGATTACAGGTGTAAGCCACCGTGCCCAGCCAGAAGCACGAATTCAAACAACAAAGTGCTTAATATTCCATTTTCACACTATGAAAACAAAGTTCAAAGTTTTAATAATATCTAAATGAACAGAGAATTGTAGAAGGCAAATTTCATTTTGTGTAGGAGGGTGCCTCCGAACATAAAAATGAAAAGTTAATGAAACACAACTTTTTGCAAGAATTACTTAGAAGTACTAAGGAATACGAATATTTTGAATCACAGATTCGGTTCAGACCAAGTGTTGCAAACTACAGGTGTGCTCCACATTAAGACTACAAAACTAGAATGTGCAAAACAGAAAAACCAGACACTAGCAATTTAATCGCCTTATAAAACAATGTTAACGACATCCCTTTCTTTACCAAAATGTCATTATAACTAAAATGACTGCTTTGTGAATTAAAACATGATAAGAATGCTTCACCTTCTATAAAGGTATTTTAAAATATAAAAGAAGGTGATGATATGATGAGAGCTATAAAGAGATTATCTTAACTATATCAAGAAAATGTAGGCCGGGAGTGGTGGCTCGCGTCTGTAATCCCAGCACTTTGGGAGGCCGAGGCGGGTGGATCACTTGTGGTCAGGAGTTTGAGACTAGCCTGGCCAGCATGGCAAAACCCCATCTCTACTAAAAATACAAAAATTAGCTGGGCGTGGTGGCAGGCGCCTGTAATCCCAGCTAATCGGGTGGCTGAAGCAGGAGAATCCCTTGAACCCGGGAGGCAGAGGTTGCAGAGAGCCGAGATCTCACCACTGCACTCCAGCCTGGACAACATAGTGAGACTCCCTCTCATTAAAAAAAAAAAAAAAGTATACATTTTCTAATCTCTCAAATAGACTCCTTCAGCTTGGATTGCATGGGGTGACAATACAGGAGGGTAGGGGGAGTGGGCTATGAAGTTGACTAGGAAGATCAAAAAGAAAGAAATAGAAAACATATTAGAGCACAGGAAAAGCACAATGTACTGATTTAGAATGCAGACTGGAGGAGGAGACTACAAATTGGGCCCAAGAACAAGAGAGAAAGGAAAGTCAAACATTAGAAATCCTAGTGGTAAAAACAGACATCTGAGAAGTAGATGAAAGCAAATGGTTGTCAAAACAGCATTCTTTGATGAACTATTCCTACCCTCATCTTGTTATATTTGAAGGGCAGAGGACGTTAATTTGGAATCGACCCAATATCCACTAGGAAAAGGTGCCAGATTCTAGTGATGAGTTATGTTCTTTTTTCTTTTTTTGGGACAGTCTCGCTCTGTCGCCCAGGCTGGAGTGCAGTGGCGTGATCTCTGCTCAATACAAGCTCCACCTCCCGGGTTCACGCCATTCTCCTGCCTCAGCCTCCCGAGTAACTGGGACTACAGGCGCCCGCCACCACGCCCGGCTAATTTTTTATATTTTTAGTAGAGACGGGGTTTCACCGTGTTAGCCAGGATGGTCTCGATCTCCTGACCACATGATCTACCTGCCTCGGCCTCCCAAAGTGCTGGGATCACAGGTGTGAGCCACCACGCCCGGCCAATGAGTTATGTTCTAAACGTTACTCACAATAAACACTAGACCTGCTTCTGCCAGATACCAAGCAGTCCCATCCCCTTGTCCCCAGGGTATGGTACCCTCCCCAAGTTCTAAACTTTACTTTATTTACCTTTCACCGACTTGGATTCTATTTGTTCATGCCTCTCCAATTTATAAATTTTGAATCCTTTTTTTTTTTCTCCAAGACGGAGTTTTGCCCTATCACCCAGGCTGGAGTGCAGTGGCGCAATCTCGGCTCACTGCAACCTCCGCCTCCCAGGTTCAAGCAATTCTCCTACCTCAGCCTCCCAGGTAGCCAGGATTACAGGCATGCGCCATTGCGCCCAGCTAATTTTGTATTTTTAGTAGAGACGGGGTTTCTCCATGCTGGTCAGGCTGGTCTCCAACTCCCGACCTCCGGTGATTCACCTGCCTCGGCCTGCCAAAGTGCTAGCTTTACAGGCATAAGCCACTGCGCCCGGTCCTAAATTTTTGAATTGTTGATTCTCTATAGCAGATCCTTAACATTCTGGAATTTGTTATACACCACTTAGAATCATAGAGAAAAGGCTAGGCGTGGTGGCTCATGCCTATCTGCTTTAGGAGGCCGAGACAGGAGGATCGCTTGAGCCCAGGAGTTTGGGGCTGCAGTAGGCTATGATCATGCCACTGCACTCCAGCCTGGGCGACAGAGTGAGAGAGAGGGAGGGAGAAAGGAAGGAAGGAAAGAGTCATAGGGTAAAACATAAAGCAAGGGCTCTCATTTTTTACTAAATAGACCAACACAGAATTCCTCATGTAGGTAAAGAAGGGTAGGGGGACAGTGGAAGTGGAATGTAGTAAGATATAAAATTTAGAATGAATAATTTACTCCTGGATTTGCCACTAAAGGATAGAACCTCTAGATCAGAGAAACAATATAAGCTTCCCTAAATAGCTCTTTAGCTTAAAAAACAAAAACAAAATTCAACTTACCATTCTGATTTATTTATTTATTTATTTATTTATTTATTTATTTATTTTTTGGAGACAGAGTCTTGCTCTGTTGCCCAGGCTGGAGTCCAGTGGGGCGATCTCAGCTCACTGCAACCTCTGCCTCCCAGGTTCAAGTGATTCTCCTGCCTCAGCCTCCCGAGTAGCTGGGACTACAGGTGCACACCACCATGCCCAGCTCATTTTTGTATTTTTTTAAAGTAGAGACAGGGTTTCACCATGATGGCGAGGCTGGTCTTGAACTCCTGACCTTGTGATCCGCCTACCTCAGCCTCCCAAAGTATTGAGATCACAGGCAGGAGCCACCACGCCCGTCCATCATTCCTCTTTAAAAGTAGACACCACACACACACACATACACAAATGCCCTACCCCCAAAAGGAATAACTCAATGTCATCTGTGTCAATTTAGCTACCTGTTTACAGAAACACCTAGTTCACCAACACTACTGGAGTGAAAACCAGTATGTTCATTTTTTAACTGTCTTTTTTTTAATATAACAGTGATTGGTTGGAAAATATTTCAGTAGTACATTCGGAAAATGTAAAACTGAAACATAATTAGCCTCAATTAATTTAAGAACACTTTAGTTAAACACACACAAATACTAATATCTGCAATTTACTTTGAAATGCATCAAAATACAAGATATGCTGATGAATGGAATGATAAATAAATGGCTAGGTATGTGATAAAACTGCTATCGTGTTCCTAGTAGAATCAAGATGGTGAGTATATGAGTAGTCATTGTGAAATTCAACTGTCCTGTACATTTGAGAATTTTCATTACAAAAAAAAGAAAAAAATCTAGAATAACCCCCCTGCCCAAAATAGAGAGCTCCTTGTATCACACACACACACACACACACACCCTCAAAAACTTACCTCCCAATTTAACTCTAGTGAAAAGAGGAAACTAAAAAACAAATAGTTTAGAAAGTAAAAACTCTGGGCCAGGAGCCGTGGCTCACGCCTGTAATCACAGCACTTTGGGAGTCTCAGGCAGGTAGATAGCTTGAGCTCAGGAACTTGAGACCGGCCTGGGCAACACGGTGAAACCCCATCTTTACCAAAAACACGAAAAAATTAACTGGGCCTGGTGGCATGTGCCCTGTATTCCCAATTACTTGGGGGACTGAGGCGGGAGGATGGCTTGAGCCCACGAGATCGAGGCTGCAGTGAATGGAGATCCCCCCACTGCACTCCAGCCTGGAGGACAAAGTGAAACCCTGTTTCACAAAAAGTAAAAAAAAAGAAAGTAAAAACTCCGAAGAGTTACACAATAAACTGACACAGCAGGCTATATATGACTAAATACATTCTAAAAAAAAAAATCAATTAACACACTTGTATGTAAAAATTTAAATCACAAATATGATAGGCATGTATTTAATAAAATTTCATGTAGTGAGATTATTTCATAAGGAAAAGGAAATAAGAAATTTGACTATATACATGTTAAAATCTTTGTTGGGTAAAAATAACAAATTTAAAAGGCAATGACAATCTGGGAAAAAATTTTACAGTATCTGTTACCCAAAAGTTGTTATAAGTGAGGGAAGCAGGGTGATACAACAGAAGTATGGTGATCCTAGAATCTGCTACAAGTGAATATAATGATGAACAAGTGAATATAATGTATGTGTGCAAAAGGCACACATACAAGCAACTCAGATCAGAAATACAATGGCCAATAAGCACATTTTAAAAAAATGTCAAGTGTTATTGATAAAAGAAATTTAAATAAGGTTTTTTTTTTTGGTTGTTGTTCATCAAAGTGGCAAAACTGTCCAGATTGGGTGGCTCATGCCTGTAACCCCACCACTTTGGGATGCTGAGACAGGAAAACTGCTAGAGCCCAGGAGTTTGAGACCAGCCTAGGGAACAAAATGAGACCTTGTCTCTATAAAAAAATAAAAAACCTTGGCCAGTGCGGTGGCTCACGCCTGTAATCCCAGCACTTTGGGAGGCCAAGGTGAGCGGATCACGAGGTCAGGAGTTCAAGACCAGCCTGACCAACATGGTGAAACCCCGTCTCTACTAAAAATACAAAAATTAGCCAGGTGTGGTGGTGTGTGCCTGTAATTCCAGCTACTCAGGAGGCTGAAGCAGAAGAATTGCTTGAACCCGCGAGGCAGAGGTTGCAGTGAGCCGAGATCTCGCCACTTCAATCCAGCCTGGGCGACAGAGCAAGACTCCATCTCAAGAAAACAAAACAAACAAACAAAAAACAAAAAACAAAAAACAAAACAAAAAAAACACAAAAAAGAAAAGAAAACAAAAAAACTTAGATGGGCATGGCAGCCCATGCCTACAGTCCCAGCTACCTGGGAGACTGAGCGGAGAGGATCCCTTGAGCCCAGGAGGTAAAGGCTGCAGCAAGCCATGAACACACCACTCCACTCTAGCCTGGGTAACAGAGCGGGACCTCGTCTCAAAAAAAAAAAGAAAAAAGAAAGCAAATTTTAAAAAAGATACGTAATATTCAGCACTGATGAAGGGGTGAAGAAACACACAGTTTCATATGCCAGTGGTAGAAGAATAAACTGATATAAACTGGAGGGGGTAATTTTATTAAAAAGTTAGAAAAGGTTTAATTAGTAGAATTCTGCATTTGTATCTGCATTGTATTTTAAGCATAATTTGTTGAAATCAAAGAAAAACATTGATTTGCACAGAAATTCAGAGTTAGAAATGTCCATTACAGTGTTGTTTACTTTTTTTTTTTTTTTTTTTTTTTGAGACAGAGTCTCGCTCTGCCACCCAGGCTGGAGTGCAGTGGAGCAATCTCAGCTCACTACAACATCTGCCTCCTGGATTAAAGCGATTCTCCTGCCTCAGCCTCCCGAGTAGCTGGGATTACAGGTGTGCACCACCACGCTCAGCTAATTTTTGTATTTTTAGTAGAGACAGGGTTTCCCCATGTTGGCCAGGCTGGTCTTGAACTCCTGACCTCAAGTGATCTGCTGGCTTCGGCCTCCCAAAGTGCTGGGATTACAGGCATGAGCCACTGGGCCCGGCCTGTTGTTTACAATTTTAAAAATACATTTAATTTTCATAAATTGTGTGTAAGTAGATTACATGTTTGAGAAGACAGATTCTATGCCACATTAAAAGTTAGAGCCAGAAAGTTTAACTTCATGATAAAATGTTACCAAATTAAACCAGAATAGACAAGAATACATAACAGGGTTACTGGCTAGTGGGATTATGATAGTACTTAATGGTAGAAAATCTTGTTTTCTAAATTTTCTGCCATGTATTAGGATTAGATTTGTAATATAAAAAATAAAATGGCCTTCAATTTGCAATGCATTATATGCATTTTTTATCCAAGGAGAAGTATTTAATGACCAGCCATAGCAAATCATATTATATAAGGTCTGCAAGATACCTATGTATTGTGAAGTTATAGTCCTATTGCCTCAAAAAGCTTACCACAAAAAGTCCTGTATTTGCGATGTTCCTTTTTCACCAAAATAAGTATTTTGCACTTTACCCCTATTATCATCAAGCAGACTCATTTCCCCCACCCTCCTGCTTCCTCAAATCAGTTTCTAGCTGGCTGCCTAGAGTTCAAAACCCCTAACCAGTCCCTAAGCTTTGAATTTGCACTTTTTCTATTCCATGTAACATGTGACAAACCATTACTCAGTTGAACACTTTCCAGAAAAAAGTCAGTTAAAAGAAGAAAGTCTTCCTGGCTGGCCTAGGGAAAAAAAAAGTAAGGAAGCCTTTTAACTTGCTTACTTTTCTACCTCAATTCTCTTTATTTAGACACTGTTTAGAATTAAAGGATGAGTTTAGGATTGGGAAAAAAAGCTATTATCTCAAAGCCTGGTTGTTCTTTTCTTTCTTTTTTGAGATGGAGTCTCACCCTGTTGCCCAGGCTGGAGTACAGTGACGTGATCTTGGCTCACTGCAATCTCCATCTCCTGGGCTCAAGCAATTCTCCTTCCTCAGCCTCCTGAGTAGCTGGGATTACAGGCCTGCGCCACCACGCCTGACTAATTTTTGTATTTTTAGTAGAGACGGGGTTTCACCATGTTGGCCAGGCTGGTCTCGAACTCCTGACCTCAGGTGATCCACCCGCTTCGGCCTCCCAAAGTGCTGGGACTACAGGCGTGAGCCACCGCGCCTGCCCTGGTTGTTCTTATCCTCTTTCTAGCCCTTTTCTCTACCCTCAAGAATATTATAAAATGATGTGCGAAACTGCCTATCGGGATAGAGTGCATAGGAAGTAAAAAACTATTCCTACAGACTCAAAATGAAAAATATTTTTATTTGCCAACATAGTTCTTCAAATCTAACACTATCAAGTTGGTACCACACTTGGGGCAATAAGGGAAGGAGACCCCTATCTGCAATTATACCTTTCATTTGGTTTTTACATCTACCTCGTTTGGCTACCACAATAAACCTCTGAGGTAGCTGGACTATCACTAGCTTCCTGATAAATTCTTCCTATGAAACAGCATCGCTTCTCCTGTTCAAACATCAGAGGCAGCAGCAGCTGCCATACTCATCCACGTAGGAAACAGCATTGGCCTCTTTATGAGTAAAACTTTGTTCAGGGCTTTAGATTTAGTAGTTGCCAGGGGAGAATAACTGTGAACATTCATGTTGATAAACCAGATTTAAAAAAGGAAATTGCTTTCTCAGAGACCATTCAGAAAGAAAGAGGATACTGCCTGATTTCTTATGAAGTATTTAGGTGATTAAAGGTGATACAGGGGACTGATCACTCCTTATCTCTAAAAATACTTCCTTTACTTGGCTTGTGGGACAACACACTCTTCAGTTTCCTCACACCCCACTGTCCACTTTTCAATCCTCCTCGATGGCGCCTTCTCTTTTGCTCAGCTTTCCATGTGGAAAGTACCAATTCTCAATTCTTGGATCTCTTCTCAGTCTAACTCCCTAGCCAAGAGATCCCTTTAAGTCTACTGGTGATGCTTAACATTTAACTATCCTCAGTCCAAACCTCTCCTCTGAATGCTTGACTTACATATCTAACTGCCTACCTGATGTGTCCACTTGGGCGTTTAACAGACACTTCAAACTTAACATATCCAAAACATTTGACTCTCTAAAGCCAGAAACTAGTAACTTTCACTATTGCCACTACTGTCGCTCTAGTCTAAGCCATTAATGTCTCTTAAACCAGATCATTCCAATCATTTCCTAGCTTATCTCATGGTTCCCAGTGTTTTAAAGAATTCCCAGAGCCATTCTTTAAAAATATAACCCAATTTTTTGGCTTTGCTCAAAATCCTCCAATGAATGCTCATAGCACTTAAAATCAATGAATAAAATCTCTATGCAACCTCATTTCCTCCTATAAGCACCTTTTCCTCACTCACCTTCAGCCACAGTGTTCTCCAAATTCACTTATCCCATTCCTGCCTCAGAACCACCGCACCTGAGTAGAATACTCTCCACTCAGATACCTACAAGATGCTTCCTTACCTAATGCAAGTTCTCTGCTAAATGTCACCTCAGAAAGAGGGATTCCCTAACCACTCTAAGATAGTTCTCAAGGTGTAGCATAGTGGATAAAGAGGCTATTTTTTTGTGTCATAGAGGGGACACAAAATATGTATTTATATTTGCTTGAGGTGAAGAAAAATTCATGGCCAGGCGTGGTGGTTCATGCCTGTAATACTAGAACTTTGGGAGGCTGAGGAAAGAGGATCACTTAAGCTCAGGAATTCAAGACCAGCCTTGGCAACATAGTGAGACCTCATCTCTACAAAAAATTAGCTGGGCATGGTGGCGCACACTTGTAGTCCCAGCTACTCAACAGGCTGAGGTGGGAGTATTGCTTAAGCCCAGCGGGTCAAGGCTGCAATGAGCTGGGATCCTGCCCCTGTACCCCATCCTGGGCGACAGAACAAGACTCTGTCTCAAAATAAATAAATAAATAAATAAATAAATAAATAAATAAAGTTCATTGAAGAATACATAAGAAATAATAAAAATAGCTACTTACTGGATTGGCAAAAGTGGTAACTCAGCAGATAAGATGTAGGGTGAAAAGGTTTTTCATATTATTTCTTTTCAAAATATTATTTGAAAACTACCTGAATGAACACTTGAAAACAAATGTAAAACAGCAGTCCTCTACCACTGTCTCTTTACCTTGATTAATTTTTCTTCATAGCATCTATCCTTACTTGACTTTACATCGTAAAAGAATTATCCATATCCTCCAGTATATTGTAAACTTCATCTAATTCCTTTACTGCTGGAGGATATAATGGTTTTCTCTTTAATTTAAAAAACAAAACAAGGCCAGGCGCCATGGCTCACACCTGTAATCCCAGCACTTTCAGAGGCCTAGGCAGTGGACCATGAGGTCAGGAGATCAAGATCATCCTGGCCAACATGGTGAAACCCTGTCTTTACTAAAATACAAAAAATTAGCCGGGCGTGCCTGTAGTCCCGGCTACTCGGGAGGCCGAGGCAGGGGAATAGCTTGAATCCAGGAGGCAGACGTTGTAGTAAGCCGAGACTGAGCCACTGCACTCCAGCCTGGCGAGAGAGCAAGACTCCGTCTCAAAAAAACAAAAACAAAAACAAACAAAAAGGCCCCAAAAACAAACAAACAAAAAAAACCCATCCGAATGGTTTTCATTATTTTTGTGTCACCTTTCCTCCCAGCATCTTTTATTTATGTAACATTCATTCTATTTATAAATGTGCATGGCTTTGTCCTTGGCTATATTAAGTATATGGCCAGGATGGAGACATAAGAGTTTGGCTTGTTGAATTTATAAATGTCAAAAAGCCAGGAAGGAAAGCTAATCCCTTGGATGACAGAATCATGATTCAAGAAGATCTCAAGTTTTAACTATAGCTACGTTCACGGAGATGAAATTTAATAGGAGGCAATGGTAAAATACTGGTTTAAAAACATCACCTGTGTGTTTATACACAATGGGAGAAATCTAGCTAAGTGTAAAAATGTTGGTTTATGTTGACTACATCAGTGGTTTCCAGACCAATTTTTCAGAAAACAAATTAAGAATCAACATAAGGCTGCCAACTTTTTATTGGTTAATCAGGAACACTAAAATAAAACAAAACCCCATGACCAACATCAAAAGAAACTTAACCTATCATTACTTAATAGGTGTTACTAACACTATCATTTAATAAAGGCCATTTATGAACATTAGAAAAGGAGAACAAAATCTCAAAAAATAGTACCTTGAATTACATAAATATAACTTGAAAAGCCATGTAACATTTCTCTCTCTCTCTCTGCTTTTTGCTTTGAATTAGCAGAGATGACTGTTGTTAAAGAGTTGATACAATTTTAGACTTTAAACACAAGTGTATGGCTTGAAATAAGGAAAGGGACAATTTCACTGCACTTTGCATTCAGACCATAACTGCAGAATTAAATATGGAAACAAGATCAGAACACAAAGAATAGCACTGACAAAACTGATTGAATCCAGCTGAGAGATGTGAGGGATGGCAAAGGAAACCATATGAAGTTGGAGGTGTCCTAACATTTAGACAAGAGAAAATCTAGCTAATATATTGAGAAAAACCTTACTTCATCTTACTCCTAAAGACTGAATTGCAACCAGTGGGAAGAAGTTATATAGTAAAAGCAGCTACTAGCTCAATTTAAGTGAGATCTTCCTATTACACTTTTTGGAAGCTAAACAGGCTTTCCTATGCCCAGGGAAGGGTTTGTGGAGAAGTTGGACCCAATAACATCTCAGAGATATTAGTAGTGGGTGATACATTGTATGAGCTGACTTCTAAAGTTCCCTTGAATTCTAAAATTTTATGAACCAGAGTAAGGAAATAAGTGGTACCCTTTAACTTACTAAAAAAGATGAGTAGAAAGAATTTTGGCTTTAGCCAAAAAGACAAAGGTTCAATTATAGGCCCTATCACTTAGGAATGTGTAACGCAGAGGCAAAGTTATTCACTAACTCTATGCTTCAAATTTTTTCAATGTGTAAAAATAATACCTTAATTTAGAAGTTTGTTGCAGAAATTAAATACACACACACCACACACACATAAACTTCCTGGCACCTAGGAAATGTTCAAAATTTGGTAGGTATTATTCAACGATTCAATAAATATTGTGTTTCAAAGGGTAATATTTTCTATATCATTTATTACTTATGGATATACTTAAAAAATGACTTGTTCTCTGCTATGTGTCATTTGTTTTTCAGACCTCAACAATGCATGCTTGGGATTCTTTTCCACTTCTATACTTTCTGCAATTCCTGTTTGTATGTAAGTAGATTTTATGAGGTTTTCTTTAACTTTGCTTTTGCTGTTTTGTTTTTCCACCTTTATTTGATATAAAAGTGGGCTTTAACAGCAACACACATTGGCTATGTCACTGGCTTTGGCTAAAACATTTCTGCTAAACTGGACAATATATCCAGTTTAATCAACCACACTACCAGACAGATGTTTTTTATCTCTCACAATGGCTAACTCACTGCTGAACACTCCTTTATGAAATTTTTGAGTAAGTAAATAAAAACCTAGGGTATCTGATTAGAAATTTTGGTTATTAATGAAATAAAGATATTTCTTCCCATCAAAAGTATCCCATTTCTTAATGAAACAGATCAACACTGAATGCTCCAGTCAATACTATCTACTCACCAAGCATTCTTCAAATGGCACGTAACTGCTCTTTTGTTATACTTCCAGAATAATTTGCAACTGTACAGATACTTTAGTTAGCAATTAAATATCAGGTTGTCTGTCAGATACTTAGTTGAAGAGTACACTGCTTAACATCCCAGTGTTTGGGACAGATAAGAAAGAAAAGTCTTTACCTATTAATTAGTATAGAAAAAATATTTTTCAGGAATACAATTTTGTGGAATAAAAAACATTTTGACAAAAAAGCTTAAGCATATACAATATTTAGTACTAGATGAGCATTATCTAATTGCAATCAGATACAATAATAAAACTAGTTCTTTTTTTCAGTAGATAAAAAGGAACAAGAAACTGATACTTGGAACAAATCAAATAAATCACGAAGCACAGAATTTTAAAAAGTACCATAACAGCATTAATATGCAGAATGTATGCTAAGGTTTACAGTATAAATTTCACTATTCTAATGTTAAAATAGGGAACAGGCAGATTATTTCCATACAAAATAATCTCAGAACACAATGAAATTTACCAGTAAAATACATTTAAAGCATGATTGAATATAATCCCACATACTGAAATTTAGTTACAGATTTTTAAAGTTGAAATTTAAGATAAATAATAAATCCTTTAAAGAAGTCTATTAAAATGCAACGTAAAATTAAACGATTAAAATTATAAGGGAAGAAAAAAGCACTTTATGGCAAAATCAACCCAATAAAAAACATAAAGTTAATATATCTTAAAATGTAAATTCTAGTTTAAGTTAAAAGTAATCACTAATAACTCATTAATGATTACAACTCATTAACTGTGGCAAAATAAACATCATAGGTTCTTGTTATGCGGAAATTTTATTTTTAACACAGCCTATAGAGTTGATCATCATACTATTATAAAATACTATTGATTTTCAAGAAATAATATTAAAACCTACCGTTAAGTAGCTACCATTAGGTAGTAGGGAAAACACTGCAACACTTCGTTTTTATGAAAAGCACATGTTAGGACATCTTTCCTCATGTAGTAAGTTACTTTATGAAAGTAAAGGTCCATTTTAGGAGGATTACTACTTTTACATCACAAAGGCAAGAACTAGATTAATCACGGTGAGAATCAAGTTCAGTGATAGTCACAGCCTACTCAGGGAGCACATAGAGAAGCTTTCCATACATTTTCACAAGGTAAAAGGGCTAGGGGGACACAGGAAAGATCACTCTGCAGAATGGACCTTGAGTTTCGTTTGGCTCTGCCTTCGATTAACTGTCTGGCTTGGGCAGACAAGTCAGTTAACTTTCTGAGTTTTAGTGTCTTCCTCTGTCAAGTGCACTTGGGCTCTTCCGTGTTATCTACAAAGTTAGGAAGAGCTAAAGGCAGCCCTAGTTTTACTTTTTAAAAAATAATAACAGAAAAATACATAAGTTGCTATTCATCAGTGTACTGTTTCCAGAGCTGAATTCCTAAGTCTCTGAAGCATACCCAGTTAGGGTTATACCAGTGAAGATCCAGATACTATAGTCATAATGTCACTCTCTCCTCTCCCATTATTCCTCCACCTGCTCCTCCCCATCCTGCTTTATTCTCTCTTCTGGTGTGTTTTAAGAAGCAACGCCAGCAAACGGCTGCATACATTGTAAGCTTAAGGATTAAATCATTTTAAAATATGCATTTTCAATCAAATGTATCATCTGCTTCGCCAAATTCCTCCCAAATGGCTGAATTTTCATTAAGAGAATAAAAATGAGTTAACAACTTCGGTAACAGAAATGTACTGGGCCAGTTGTTTTGTTTGTTTTACTTGCTTAAAAAATAAACGGAAAGATGTATCCATTCCCTCAGGAACATAAATGCATTACCTGCCCAATGAAAAAACAATTCTGCTTGTTCATTTCCCTGACACAACAGCTTCGTTGTCAGGCCCTCTCTAGCCCAGGCTCCAACGTCACCTAGTAATTTTATATTGATCACCTTGGCAGTGCTTGGACTCCAGCAGGCATAGTCCCTGTCTTCCTTACATTCCTCAAAATAAATAAATAAATAAATAAATAAATAAATAAAACTCTACGAAACACCACCGAACAGAGATTCTGTGACTTAGTATACAAATCCCACGTCTTCCCGCCCTGTGTTAGGCAGCTGCAAATGTTATTTTTTCATCGCTTGCATAAAATGGAAGCGAAACGTACCAAAACCCTACATCTGAATCCTAGGACAATGAAGCCGACAGGAAGCCACTCTCTCCTCCCCCGGGTTTACTACAGAGCCAGAGCCTCCACGGGGTGCAGTCGCCAGGCAGGGTGCATGACACCGCGTCTTCCACGCCCTCCCAACGCGTCCAAAAGGTTGCTCGCCTGACCTCGCCAACCGCCTCACACCCCAAAACCAATCACACAAAAGGGATTGGCCCGGGGAGCTGCTCCAATGGGGGAAAAATCCCTTCCCCAGCGGCAGCGCAGCCATTCCCTCCAATGCTCCGCCCGCACCCCTCGCAAACTGCTACGGCGGAGGGGGGAGGGCTGCACAAAGCCAGTCGAAAGCTGAAAATGATTCAATGCACTTAGGGGATGCGGAGGCGGCAGCAAGGGGCTCGGGAAAGCCGGGGGGCCGCAGGACTGGAGCTCCGGGGGGCGGCGGGTGGGGGATGGGAAGGGTGGTCCCGTCAAGCCCCGGGTCCCAGGCGGGCAGAGGGTGGGGGTGGCGGCGCCGCGCGGAGCACCCGGGAAGCGCCCCCTTCGCGGTCCAGCCCCGCACCCCCGCCCCGCGGCGGGCGGCGCCCGAGTCCTCGCCGCAAACCCGAGGAGCAGGATGTGGAAAGCAGCCGCGGCGGTGGCTGCGGCTGCGGCGCCTACACCGAGCAGCCGATCGCATCACTTACCCCTTACCGTGGAGAGAGGGACCGGACGGGGGAGGCGGGGCGCGTCGCGTCCCGTGAGTCTCTCGCACGCCGTCCTCCCCCCACCTCGTCGTCGTCGTCGTCGCCGCTGTTGTCGTCGCTGCCGCTGCGGTCGAGCTCCGGGGCCCTCAGCTCCGCTGGGCAATAACGTTATTCCACACACGCCCCACACATAGCGGTAACGGCAAAGACCGACTGCCTAGTGCGCAGGCGCCTCGGGAAAGGGCGAGGAGCCGGACCCTATCCCCTCCTGCCCAGTTCCAACGATCCCTTACTGCGCAGGCGCCACACACAGACAATGAAAAGGGGTTGTGCGAGGGTCTCACCCACACGCTTTTCCAGCTTGCCCACTGCGCAGGCGTGCCCCGAAAGACCAGCTTGAACAATGAAGAGGACCTCGGCGTTAGGTGGGACCGCAACCAACAAGGACTACAGTTCCCAGCGGGCAGAGCGCCAACTCCAAGTGAAGGTCCGGTTGCTGGGCATGCTAGGAGTTGTAGTGTCGGCCGCCTTTACAATCTAGGCTGTTTGGAAGATTTAGAGCTTCTATTTCTTGAAGATTTATTCGACCGTTTTAAAAAATCTCGCAACTGAAGCAGGGTTCAGAGTTTACTATCTGCGTCCTTGAGTAGCCTGGGGATCAACTGCTGCATATTAGCAAATTTCGAAGCGTCAAGGCCTTCAGTGAGCCCTTTCTGTCATTTGGGTGGTCCAGGCAGCTGAAGAGTGGGATGGAGGCGGGACTAAACCAGGCTGGGCTGGAGGAAAAGGGCGGGGCCTGCAAGCCTGTCTCTTGGCAGCAGGCTCTGGCAGCCAAACCGTCCAAGCTAGCGCCTGGAGCGCAGTGGTTTCTGGGAATTGTAGTGTAACTGGAAGGCCCTGAGGATTGTCGAGCTTGCAGGTTCTGAACGTGAGGACTACAACTCCCGACGTGCAAAGCGAGGGCCAGTGGGTGGGAAGAGCCCCCAAGAGCTCTGTGCGGGATTCTAGGCTCCCCTGTGACAGCCGCGGCAGGAAGCAGGCGGGCGCTCCCCGGCCACAGGCCTGTTGTTCTCGGAAGGGAGAAAGCTGGACATTTCCCCACGTAACTCCCAGCTCTGGGCCTAGAGTGCGTGCATGGCGAAGTCCCCGGAGAACTCTACCCTGGAGGAGATTCTGGGGCAGTATCAACGGAGTCTCCGGGGTGAGTTGCTCCAAACCTCTGTCCCTAGCCCCGAGGTGCCCAGGGCCTAGTGGGCGGGAGCAGACCAGGTGCGTTTCCTAACACCTGGGTTCTGCCCCGTCCACGCTACAGAGGAGCAAGATGGATGTTGCTGTGGTCTTGAGGAGGATGAAATAGTTTGATTTAGTTTTTACAGTTAAGCAACGATGTTTCCTCAGATTCCCGTAGTTACCTCAATCAACTCCTTGATCTTAACTTGGCATCTTTCTCAACCGGCGACAGCAGAAACTCTTGGATAGCTCTATGCCATTTTTGTTCAGTTCCCATACGTTGCTATTTAATCCAATAAAAGTCTGATTCACAGTTTTTACACATTTAAATTATGGCACAGTGGATTGAATGTGATTTATGGGATCAGTGGGGGGAAACACTAATAATTATTTTAATCACAAGAGCCCCCTTTTAATTGATTTAGGCTATTTACATACAGTAAATCATCTGCAGCTTACACCAATCGTGTGAATATTTTACACATGGGGAAAGCGAAGCTCAGAGAGGTTGAATTACAGGCCAGAGCCCACACAGCTGGTTAGTTGCAGAGCCAGGTATTATCAGGCTTGCCTTCAAAGCCTATGTTTGTATTTACTAATCAAGCCATAATTACTATTATCAAAACCTTATTAATTTAGATTTTCTTACCACATTACCATATGAGCAAGTATCTGTACAAATAATGTCTGTATTTATTTTCCTTTAAGCTCTGTTGGACTTAATGTCTGTACTTTTAGATGGCGCTGTCAACTTGGACAGCATATATAACATCTAGAAATTTCGATTCTGTTATAATGGAAGTTATGGAATTGTCCATAGGGTTATTGTGGGGAGCAAATGAAATAATCCCCATAAAGCAGTGATTTTAAGACTTCTTAAAATGTTTACCTATAGTAAGAAATAAATTTTATATGGGACATATGTGTACATATAAACTATAAGTTTCACTGAAGAATTTTTATTCTACTAAATGTAATAAACTCTGCTTTCTATTCTGTTGCATTTTCATAAGCCTCTAGGTCATGACTGTTTGCGACATTGAGAATACTAAGTTATGAAGCATGTGTTGTTCTGCATAATATGCCTACTATGTGTCAGTGCCTCCTACTATGTGTTAAGCATACTAGGTGCTAGGCATGCAGTAAGGAACAAGACAAAGTTCCTATCCCCAT
Source organism: Homo sapiens (assembly GCF_000001405.40). Taxonomy (NCBI): domain Eukaryota; kingdom Metazoa; phylum Chordata; class Mammalia; order Primates; family Hominidae; genus Homo; species Homo sapiens. Next base: position 243,257,443 of record NC_000001.11, read on the forward strand.
GGAGCTTCTGGATTAGTTGGGGAGAAAGACAAAAAAAAAAAATAATTATAGATTACTATGATAGAAAGTAAGGGTAAAGATCAGTGCTTACTAGACAAGCACTCATTAAATGTTAATTGTTATTTATACTTGTTACTTAAAGCAAAGTGAAGGTTTTTCAATATTAGAAAGTTTATCTTCTCATGACTCTAGATTTTATAAGGGTTACTATGTATTGTTACATCTGTCAATTGTGTTAACAAACTGTCGACATTCTCAGTATTCAAACTGCAGGAGTAAAAAAATCGGTTTTAATGAACACCTTCCTCAACCTACTGATGTTTCAAGAGCTGTTAGATACAAAATAAGCACTTCTAACTTTTCATTTGGAAGCAAGAAAAATACTGTGCACAATGATATGAGTAATTGTAATTTTTAAGATTGGCAAAAATTTTTTGTTTTCATTGAAAGTTTTTCCTGATGCTTCTCTTCCTTTGACCTTATTTTAAGTCTTTATATAATTGTCGGAGGCTGTTTAACATTAGGCATTTTGACGCAGTAAAGGGGTTCATTTTAAATTAATGTTATAGTAATATGTTTAATACTAGTGGTACTGCTTTCAATAATTACAGAATGAAGGGTTTTCATTTAAGGATAATACATTTTAAAATTAGTTTGAAATAAAATTTAAATTTAGTGTGATAACAATATAAGGTAGTGGAAACATTTCACCAAGAGCAAATACGAAGGATAGAAAAAGTTAAACAACTTAAAAAAAAACGTATTCATAATTTTAACAGTGAATCAGGAAATGTAACCTGAAATGTTTATGGGTTTTTCAGGACATATCATTTATTTAGTAGCACTTTTATTTTTGTATGTTAGCTTATATAACAGCTTCTGGAAGGAAACAAAACAGAATTAACTCTGAACTTAAGTACAGTCAGAAGTTCTTCACAAATATAAATTGCTATTTTTGAGTAGTATAATTTATTTATTTAGAGATGGAGTCTCACTCTGTCATCCAGGCTGAAATGCAGTGGTGCCATCTCGGCTCACTGCAGCCTCTGCCTCCTGGATTCAAGCAACTCTCCAGCCTCAGCCTCCCAAGTAGCTGGGATTACAGGCACGCGCCACCATGCCCGGCTAATTTTTGTATTTTTAGTAGAGACTGGGTTTCGCCATGTTGGTCAGGCTGCTCTAGAACTCCTGACCTTAAGTGATCCGCCCACTTCAGCCTCCCAAAGTCTGGGGTTATAGGCGTGAGCCACCGCGCCCGGCTGATAATTCCCTTTAAAGTAAAGTATTCTGTTCCTTAATAAACAATGCTGGAGTTATGTGGAAATTCCTTATTTTGAGTGTGCCTAATAATTTAAGAATTGTATTACTATGTAGTAAGATAAAATGCAGTTTAAAGTTCTATGTCTTATTTTGTTTTGGTTTTGTTGGTTTGTTTGGTTTTGTCTACCCACCATTACTTCCCCAAATGCCTTGCGTAGTTTATGATTAATGGAAGCCTAATAAACAGTCTTGGTCTTTCCTCACCGGTTTTTCCTCTAGCTTGTAAATAACTGCACATGTAGTCACTACTAATATCCCTTCATTGATATTCAGCCAGGAAGTGGCCGCATAAAAATGCAAAATGCTTTCCCTATTTTCCGTGATCGTACTTCCATTTTAAAAAGATCTTTTCCTGGGGCCGGGCGTGGTGGCTCACGCCTGTAATCCCAGCACTTTGGGAGGCTGGGGCGGGCGGATCACGAGGTCAGGAGATGGGAGACCAGCCTGGCTAACACGGTGAAACCCCGTCTGTACTAAAAAAAAAAATACAAAAAACTAGCCGGGCGTGGTGGCGGGCGCCTGTAGTCCCAGCTACTCAGGAGGCTGAGGCAGGAGAATGGCATGAACCCAGGAGGTGGAGCTTGCAGTGAGCCGAGATCGCGCCACTGCACTCCAGCCTGGGCGACAGAGCGAGACTCTGTCTCAAAAAACAACAAAAACAAAAACAAAAACAAATTTCCTTATTTCTTTAATGTTGGTACTATTATGGTATATCAAAATTTGAAGTTCTAATGTGAAAACTGAGTCAGCATTTACTTTCTTGTTTTTAAAATGAGGTTGGGCGCGGTGGCTCACGCCTGTAATCCCAGCACTTTGGGAGGCCGAGGCGGGCAGATCACCTGACGTCTGGAGTTCGAGAACAGCCTGAGCAATATGGAGAAACCCTGTCTCTACTAAAAATACAAAATGAGCCAGGCGTGGTGGCAGGCGCGTGTAACCCCAGCTACTCGGGAGGCTGAGGCAGGAGAATTGCTTGAGCCTGGGAGGCGCAGGTTGCGGTGGGCGGAGGTTGCAGTGTGCTGAGATCGCGCCACTGCACTCCAGCCTGGGTAACAAGAGTGAAATCCTATCTCCAAAACAAACAAACAAAAAAAGATATTTTCCTCATTTCTTTAATTTTGGTACTATTATGGTATATCAATAATTTGAAGTTGTAATGTGAAAACTGAGTCAGCGTTTACTTTCTTGCTTTTAAAATGAGATCCTTGCCTCATTTTGACCTTGATGATCTTGGAGCAGCTCCACATTCACCTTTCATCCATTCCCTTACACTTTTCAGTGGATTTGCTGTTTGACTTCTCTAAAGATATCTCTTGCTTTGGGTCGCCTATGCCCTTTTACAAGAAATTGGAGACATTTAATGATTCTTCTTCAAAACGAGAGTTCTGGCAGAAAAACCGGAAGGCTTTGTTGCCCCCACAGATCTGTTGTATTATTCCTACATAGTAAATGGTCTGAAAGTTTCCAGTGTGGTTAAAAGTGTATGTGTCCTGGGTATCCTGGGAACCACAGAATTTAATCTAGAACTGGAAGTGATTTGGGAGGTCTCTTGGCAGTAAGGTTAGGTGTTCATTTACTCTATGGGTAGTTATAATTCAACAACCACAGAATGGCCGAGAACTACATTTGTAAGTGGGCAAGATAGCACATGCGCCTTCTCTAAATTCAATACATCGTTGTATAAAGCCAAGAGGTATGAAATGAACTATTTCATAGCCAAGAAAGGGTGAAAAAAGCCACAATTATAGGCAATCCAGGCTCTATTTTAAGTACTGCACACTTGAGTGTAAGGGGATATCAGAAAGGAGAAAAATTGCTAGAAATGCAGTATTTTAGCCTTAATAACAGAATCATGTCTCATCTCTTGCTGCAGCGTTGGGAATAGATAACAATTTTATCAACAACACCTGTATACATGACTCACCTATTCACCTCATTCCTAGCCACCTTTGGTTGGGTGAGTATAAGGAAAAATGAAACAAACTTCTTGTATGACAGGAACTCATGATTTTCTATATACATTTTGCATTCTGGTTTTACCTTTTTCTGTCAACATTTTGGTGTTTCAGCCTTTAGATGAATTTATGGGAAGAGTGTGGTGGGGTCAGAGGAGAGAATGTGGAGCTGGGAGCCAGGTCACTGCACTTACTTTTGCTTTGCTGACAACCATCTGGGTAACCTTAGGCAAGTGAAACACACTGTTCTTGGATTCCCGTTTCCTCAACTGTAAAACGAAAAGTTTGGACTGGATGTGAGAATTATTGCCTTTAGGTGCCAAGCAAATGATCAAAAGGTATGATGGAGTCAGTGGAAGACATTAAGGGAAATGATGAGGCTTATGGCCAAATTGGGCAGTTTCTGCTTTTTCTAAAAACATTTCAATTTCTTCCTTGCTCCCTCCCTCTTTGCTTCCTTTTTTTTCTTCTCTCTTTTTCCCTCTTTTCCTCCCTCTTTTCTTCCAAGAAGGAAGCCAAGCAAAACACACCCAGAGCCTGATTCCCCTTTAGACACCACTCTCTGACCCTTTGATCATTAATGTTCCTTCCATCAGCACTTGTTTGGACCAGATGAATGATTAAGGGCTATGTTTTTGTCTTATGGAAATGAGAGTAAGGAGTTGAACCAGGTACACAGAAAGTGAGAGGATGAATATGAGAAGAAAATATATAATCTCAGGGATGGGCCTTGTCTTTACGAATTGATGTAGTTCAAGAAAACCAAAGATAAGGTTGACTTTCTATGTTTTGCTTGTATATGATTAGCACATCTATCCAAATCCTGCAAAGTGGCTCACAATTGTAGAAGGGCTGTGTTAGTCTTACTAGCCAACAATTTGGTCAGTGTATTAGCCAGCAGTGATATCATCTGGCTGTCTTAAGAAAACATATGTGTAACTCAAATAAGTATTCCTGTTTTCTTATAAAACTTGTATTTCTTTTTTGCTTTTCTCAAATATTTTCTGGATTTTTAAATATTGTTTGCCATATGCACTATATAGGAATATACACACATAAACATGAGGGGTTTTTTGCTGATAAAATTCAAATTATACATATTCATCTTTTGTTTTATATATTCATGTGGCTTTTCTTTTTCTTTTTTTTTTTTTTTTAATCTCAGCTCACTGCAACTTCCACCTCCCAGGTTTAAGCGATTCTCCTGCCTCAGCCTCCCGAGTAGCTGGGTTACAGGCACGTGCCAACACACCTGGCTAATTTTGTATTTTTAGTAGAGACGGGGTTTCTCCATATTGGTCAGGCTGGTCTCAAACTCCCAACCTCAGGTGATCTGCCTGCCTTGGCCTCCCAAAGTGCTGGGATTACAGGCATGAGCCACGGTGCCCGACTTTTTTTTTTTCTTTTGAGACAGGGTCTTATTCTTTTGCCCAGGCTGGAGTGCAGTGATGTGATCTTGGCTCACTGCAACTTCTGCCTCCTGAGTTCAAGCGATTCTCCTGCCTCAGCCTCCCGAGTAGCTGTGATTACAGGTGCCACCACCACGCCCGGCTAATTTTTTTATTTTTAGTAGAGGCAGGGTTTCACCATGTTGCCCAGGCTGGTCTCGAACTCCTGGCCTCAAGTGATCCACCTGCCTTGGCCTCCCAAAGTGCTGGGATTACAGGCATGAGCCATTGTGCCTGGCCTCATGTGGCTCTTCTTAGTGCCTTTAACTTTTATGATCTTTTATTTTACTAGAACTTAAAAGTACAATCTCAATTTTTCTTTCCTACTACTGATGAGATAAAATTGGCAAAAGACAGGATTTAGCAACCAGAAAAGAAATGAGTGTTCTACAAGTAAATAGTCATCCCTGGAATAATCTAAATCAAAGGTATGTTTCAGTGTTAGGAGATTGTAGGGGTACTTTTTCATGTTCTTTGTCAGAAATAGGTATAGAGTAAGTTTTTTTCAAACTATTGAGATACTGAGAGTAATAATATTCTCTCCTGGGATGTTTAAAGACTTATGGTCTGATCACATTGCCAGTTTGTGCTAAGATTTTCACCATTTTACTTGATGATAACTCTTCTCAGAGTCCAAAAGTAGACAAGGTAGCTAGAAATGCCCTTGTGCACTGGCTGAAGCAATCCTGATGATGGCGGAACTTCATCAAAGCCCACTGGATACTTAAAGGGATGGCCTTAGGGCAAATATTGCTTTTAGGCCCTGAAACAAAATAAAGCTAAATATGAATCTGAGCTCTTGCTTCTGATAGATATAACACCTATTCCTGACACCTGGATCAGATGTGTCCCATCATGGCACTGTCGGTCTCAGGCTGTGTCCTCCCCACCAGCACTCCTGTGGCAGAATAGCTCACTGTCACGCTCATTTTCCATCAAGAGGCGGCAACACTTACAATGTAATGTGGTCAGAGTGATAGCAAGTCTCCCCTCAACACTGAAAACTCTTGTTTTATTGATCTCGTTTTATTGACTTGAAAACTGTCTTGTTTTATTGATTTTTTTTTATTGTCACAATTGGGGGTGGAGATGAGTGCTGCTGGCCTCTGGTAGGCAGAAGCCAGGGATGCTATTAAACTGGCACAACACAGCCCCTTCCAAAAGAGAATTATCAGGTCCAAACTGTCAATAGTGCTGAGGTTGAGAAATCACGATCTAGAAGTACAGGCTTTGCTTGTAGCCCTTGATCTGCAAGAATCCTACTTTACAGTAATTACAAGTAAGGATATACAGATTGTATTTGCTGGTGATTTTACCTATGTTCTTTGCCAGCCTGGCTAGGTTTACTTCTTTTATCAGTGGAAAGTGACAGGTGCATCAGTCCTCTCCACTGATGCCAAAGAAATACCAGGTGTATCCCTTAGAATGCATATAGCCAATCTCCTGGATTTGCCAACACCCACATATCTTTAATGGTCTTCCAGACATTGCTTTCTTAAGATGTTTACATTCTTTATCAGATTATCTTTTACTCCTGGCGCCAACCACTTTAGCATGTTTTCAGTTATTAGAGTCTTAGGATAGTATTTTCTTTGAGATTCAAACAAAAAAGTATTCTACATAGTACTTGTAATCTCTTTCACAATTGTAATTGCCTTTCACAAAGCCGACATTGTCTGATTTTTTGATTCTGCTGTTTATATCTTGGTAGTGTTACCTGTTGGTCCCCTAGTAAACAGTGACAGCAATCTTCTGAACCAGGCTGAGGCCCAGTCAAGTGTAGATAGACATGTATTTCTTATCTCACTGTGGTTTTATTTTTCTGCATGTCTGCCCTAATCAAAGCTTGTGCTGGGAGCTGCAGTGCATCTCATATCTCGGCCTCGGGAGGAATGGTTCATTGCATATTCTCTCAGAGACAGCTGGGCGCTTCGCAGGGAGTGGTCCCCCTCCCTGTCACCAGGGCAATTCTCTTTCACATCTCCCAGGACAGATGGAGAATGAAGAAATTAATAATTCATAGTGTGTATTTAAGTGGTGATTCTTCCTAGACTGAGACATACTTGCATTTTGTTCAAAAACATCTTGATGAAGACAGGCCCAGTGGTGACCTAAGAGTTAGAACATAGGAAGTAGGGAAACTCTTACTAAGAAAATGGACAATACAGGCCAGGCAGGGTGGCTCACGCCTGTAATCCCAGCACTTTGGGAGGCTGAGGCGGAAGGATCACCTGAGGTCGAGGGTTTGAGACCAGCCTGACCAACATGGAGAAACCCTGTCTCTACCAAAAATACAAAATTACCCAGGTGTGGTGGTGCATGCCTGTAATCCCAGCTACTCAGGAGGCTGAGGCAGGAGAATTGCTTGAACCTGGGAGGCGGAGGTTGCAGTGAGCCGAGATTGCACCATTGCACTCCAGCCTGGGCAACCAGAGCGAAAACTCCATCTCAAAAAAAAAAGAAGAAAGAAAATGGACAAGACAGACTGAAATTAGCTAGCAGCCATTAGCTCAGGTACCTTTTAAGTGCTCATTGTACTGATTGATGTTTGGATAGTGCATTAGCAGAAATATTATCTACTTGCACTTACGTTCATGTGATCTGTAGGACTCAGGGGTCCTGTTTGTGTCTGTAGTCATAGTTAAGTTTATAGTCAGTTCCTGGTTGGTGCTGGGGAAAAGAAATCAGGATGCATTCATTGTGAAATACCCTTACTGTCCTCTCAGGAGAGAAGAGGAAATGAGTGTGTTCTCTCTCTTGGTTAGAAACAGATAAAGCTGTGTCCCATTAGCAGTTGGATAGGAAACGGTAACTGGAACCTTCTGTCTAATCTGGTTTCCTTAAATGTAAGGAGCAGATAACTGCATCTGGGGAGTAGTGCTCTTAATAAGGATTATGGGGGCTTCAGTTGCAATGGCTCCAGTTGAAGAGCCATGGGATTTCATCTGTCCTGAATCATCTGAGTGTTATTCTTCTTCACATTAACTGTGTTTATCTGTTATAGTATATAATTATGCTGGTTTGTTATGTATTTGAAAAGCACTTAGCATGTTTTGAAATGTAGCGTTGAAATGACTTTAAAATGTCAACTCTGTAGTTTTAGTTTTAGGGCACAGTTCTTGCAAATTCCTGCTTTTCCTCTCTGACCCTAGTAACTCTGAAATCAGTAGTTGCAAACAAACAAACCCTAAAGCCTTGTGTGTCACTTTTCTTTGGGATAGTTGTTGAATTCAATAGCTCATTATTTCACGTAATATTATGTTCATAGTGCAATTTAACATGTAGTCTTTGAATGTTATAAATTCTAAAAGATTAAACAAGAACATTAGAAAAGGAATGAAAAGTGCTCTTAAAATCCTGCCCTAGGCCGGGCATGGTGGCTCACTCCTGTAATCCCAGCACTTTGGGAGGCCAAGGTGGGTGGATCACCTGAGGTTAGGAGTTTGAGACCAGCCTGGCCAACACGGTGAAACCCCATCTCTACTAAAAATACAAAAATTAGGTGGGTGTGGTGGCGCATGCCTGTAATCCCAGCTACTCGGGAGGCTGAGGCAGGAAAAATGCTTGAACCTGGGAGGCGGAGGTTGCAGTGAGCCAAGATCGCACCATTGCACTCCAGCCTGGGGACAACAGGGAGACTTCGTCTCCAAAAAAAAAAAAAACTCCTGCCTTTCTTGTAATCTGATGAAAGAACTCTGCCTACAGAGGCTTTTAACTATGCAAATTCTTTCCATATTTTTTTTCTTTTTCCTAATATAGTTTATTAGCTTTTACTCAGACTAGGTATAAATAAATAATTATCCCTTGCCTTAGAGGTGAAGTCATTTGAAAGCTCCATGGAATACATTTCTTCTTTAAAAACGCAACAAAAATTTTTTATTGTAAATTGACAATTTATAATTGTATAAATTTATGGGTTACAAAGTGATGTCATAAATTGTGGATACAATGTGGAATAATTAAATAAAGCTAGTTAACATATCCAATACTTCCAATACATTTCTGTGATGAGAACATCAATTTTGAAATGTGTAATACTCCATTATTAAGTATATGCACCACACTGTACAATAGAACTCAAAAAAAGTATAAAACATATTCTTCCTGTCTGAGATTTTGTACCCTTTGACCATCACTGAATTTTTTTTTCTTTTTCTTTTTTTTTTTTTATGAGACAGTCTCACTCTGTCACCCAGCCTGGAATGCAGTGGTGTGATCTCGGCTCACTGCAACCTCCGCCCCCCGGCTTCAAGCAACTCTGTTGCCTCAGCCTCCCCAGCAGCCAGGACCACAGGCACACAACACCACAACCTGCCAACCTTTTTTGTATTTTTAGTACAGATGGGGTTTTGTCACGTTGTTCAGGCTGGTCTTGAACTCTTGACCTCAGGTGATCCACCCACCTTAGCCTCCCAAAGTCCCAGGACCACAGACATGAGCCACTGTGCCTGGACTAAAATTTTTATGAGACAAAATATCAATTTCAAAACAGCATCAAAAAGTGAGTAGGCCAGGCACGGTGGCTCATGCCTGCAATCCCAGCACTTTGGGAGGCCGAGGTGTATTTTTCTGTACTAAAAATACAAAAGTATTTGTCTCTATTATAAATACAAAAAAAAAAAAAGAAATTAGCTGGGCACTGTGGCACATGCCTGCAATCCCAGCCACTCAGGAGGCTGAGGAAGGAGAACCATCTGAACCCTGGAGGCAGAGCCACAGTGAGCTGAGACTGCACTACTTGCACTCCAGCCTGGGCAACAAGAGTGCAACTTCGTCTCAAAAAAAAAAAAAAAAAAATGCTGGGCGCGGTGGCTCACGCTTGTAACCCCAGCACTTTGGGAGGCCGAGGCAGGCGGATCACAAAGTCAGGAGATCGAGACCATCCTCGCTAACACGGTGAAACCCTGTCTGTACTAAAAGTACAAAAATTAGCTGCGCGTGGTGGCGTGTAACTGTAGTCCCAGTTTCTCGGGAGGCTGAGGCAGGAGAATGGCGTGAACCTGAGAGGCGGAGGTTGTAGTGAGTGAAGATCGCACCACTACACTGCAGCCTGGGCGACAGAGCGAGACTCCGTCTTAAAAAAAAAAAAAAGAAATATACATGATAGGAATTCCAGGAATCTTATGGATTCTTCTTTTAAGGTCCCGGTCACTGGGCGTGGTGGCTTACGCCTGTAATCCCAAGACTTTTGGAGGCTGAGACGGGCGGATTTCACCTGAGGTCGGGAGTTTGAGACCAGCCTGACCAACGTGGAGAAACCCCGTCTCTACTAAAAAAAAATACAGAATTAGCCGGGCGTGGTGACAGGTACCTGTAATCCCAGCTATTGGGGAGGCTGAGGCAGGAGAATCGCTTGAACCCGAGAGGCGGAGGGTGCGGTGAGCCGAGATTGCGCCATCGCACTCCAGCCTGGGCGACAAGAGCCAAACTCCCTCTCAAGAAAAAAAAAAAAAAAGTCCCGGTCAACTGTGGGCACAATGTAACACTTACACACACTTAGGCTGAGTTACTCTCTGTACTAAGCAGTCATGTGCATAGGTTCCTGTGTGTGTACATGGTAATTGTTCAAATCTTGGATCCTTGGCGATCCTTAGAGCCACTCAATACTTCTGCCCCAATTTCTCAATTTCAGCCATTACACAATCAGTTATACAAGGGATACACTTGACATGCAGACAGCCCATCATTGACTGCACTAAGTCCAGTTTGGCTTTTATGGAAAAGTTGATAAAGTTGGTATCAACGAGGATGTGGTAAGGTGGGCCCAGCTGTGTATTATATTGGCAAAATAATCAGGAAAGGTGTTGCGGAACTTCTCTTTCCTTTAACGCGCTGGGATCCTTCTTTTCTTTCTCTTTAGGTTTTAATCTATCCTTTTCTTTAAGCCTCTGATCTCTGAGACTAAGCGTTTGCTTCATGGTTGTATAGTTCCTCATTTTCTTTTGCTTCCTCATGGTCACACCACACTCCTGTTTCTTCCGTAATCACCAACGGTGCAATGCTTTTACCTGGAATACATTTTTATGTTAGTCAAACTGTCTCGTTCCTTTCTAATAGATTCAATAAAGATAAGTGTTTTATTCGTGGATTTAAGGGCATAAATCTAAAGCTCCATGAACTGAATTGCTTATCATGTAACACTTTGATTTTCCTTTTCCATGACCAAATCGCTTTTCTATTCTATTTTCTAATACTAAGTTATTGTAAAACTATCACAGTTTCATATATTCCCAAAACCAGGAATGCGTCTTATCTGAACTTCCTTAAACTCATGATGAGTCAGAGGAGGCCAGTTTTCATTAGTAATCAGCGCCAAATTCATTTCAAAGAAAGATCTGTGTGGACATAGGATTGGTATGGAGAAAAATATGGTGATAAATTAACTGTGTCTCTTGTATAGTTGAGTAATAGAATTTCATTGTCGAACCCTGACCTGAAATACATGTTTTCTTTTATCAAAGTAGAAAATGAGTTGCTGCAAGTAAAGAAACTGTATTAGATATTGTATAACAGAGACTTTTTTTTTCTATTAAGTACTAACATTGCTTTTGTTTCTGTTCCAAACTTTGAAATCAGTGCACTTGGACAAAATGGAAACTGCTTTTCAAGGTCCTACAGAATATATGTTTATAAATGTATTTTTATACATGGTTGGTAATGAATCAGGTCTCTTTCGTGCCATTGCAGTTAGAGGGCCTCTGGTGCTGGAGTCCTCTGGAGGACTGGGCTGTCAGAGTGGGGCAGCGGGGTGCAGCGCGGGGAGGGCTTTTCTCTTTCTTCGTGCCTCTGGTGCTGGAGTCCTCTGGAGGACTGGGCTGTCAGAGTGGGGCAGCGGGGTGCAGTGCGGGGAGGGCTTTTCTCTTTCTTCATGGGGTCTCAGGGCCTCTCTCTTCCTCTCCACGTATGCTCTTCACAGGTCTCTCCAGCAGGGTAGTCAGATATCTTACATAGCGGCTTAGGGCTCCCAAAAGCAAACATTCCAAGAGGAAGCAGAAGCTGCCAGTCCTTTTAAAGATGAGGCTTGGGTGTGACATGGTATAACTTTTATTGCATTCTATTGGTTAATGCAGATTACAGGCCCAGTCAGTTTCAGATTAGAAGAGAACAAGGGAATGAGGCTGGGTTCCTTGGAGGCTATTTTTTTTTTTTTTTTTTTCTGAAACAGTCTCGCTCTCTTGCCAGGCTGGAGTGCAGTGGTGCGATCTCGGCTCGCTGCAACCCCTTGGAGGCTATTTTTAGAGATGAACTATCACAGTAATATACCTTAAAATACTTCATTTTAGACAGTTTTTGTGTGTTCTAGGGGTGGTCAGTTGCACTAACCAAGAATCTATGAGGTGTGGTTGGCCAGCAGTATATAGAAAGAGCTGTACCGCCGGGGCTGCCACTATAAGCACTTCAGCTATGCAAATTTTGATCAAAACTAGGCCAGACATGTGGATGTCTCTTGGTGGGGGAGGGATTTCCTGTCCCCAGGGACAATGAGGCTTCCCTAGGTTGGAACTGGGTGTGACGCAGTCCCTTTTGCTGGCTCTTCCCACCTCCCCACTGCTCCTTTCGTCCCCCTCTGTCTCCAAGTTGGTAAAGGAGTCAGGCATGGTGGGAAGGAGAGCACTTCCCTTAGCAAGTTATTGTTTAATGGGAGCTGGTGGGAAGAGTTCTGTCATTTAATCCTTGCCGGTGGTGCTATATGTAGTGAAATCAACTGCTACAGTGGTAGGGGCCTTAGAGATCATCAAGTCCTACCTCTAAACCATGAAGTTAATCTTCTCTCACCATCTTTGGCACATCCCTCAGCAAGCTAGAAACAGAACTCTGCGTTTTTTCCATAAAGTACGAGAAATAATGATTTCACCTTTAAAAACTGCCTTCCTGAGTAAGTGTCCGTTTGGTCAACCAGACTCCATGGGTCCTAACTTTCGTCAGGTTGTTCTTGCAGAACATGCCAGCAGAAGCATTCACCAACTGACATGTGCCCTGAAAGAAGGCGATGTCACTATTGGAGAAGATGCACCAAATCTTTCTTTTAGCACCAGTGTGGGAAATGAGGACGCCAGGACAGCCTGGCCCGAATTACAACAGAGCCATGCTGGTGAGTGTGAATGTCAATCCTAGTCTGAATGATGCATAGTGAATTTTTTAAACTCCGTAGAATAATAACTCCATTCATTCTTCATTCTGCTGCTATGATGTTATTCCTCAAACACAAATCAGATAATTTAATTCCCTCGCTTAATCTTGTTTTCCTTTGACTTCCCAATGCTTATAGGCTAAAGTCCAAAATTCTTAGTTATAAAATAACAGTGTTTTCCTAAGATAGCTCTAACCTGCCTCTTCGGCTCATCTTTGTGTACTTCTCATGCTAATCATCCATCTCACAACTCATATTCTAGTTATAATAACCTCCTCTCTATGCTTTTATGCTTTGACATGTGCAGTGACTTCTAACTGGAATTTTTCTTATCCTTTTCTGCTTGGTGAACTCCTTCCTGTTTATCCTTGCAGTGTTATCTCCTCTGTGAAAACAAGCACAATTAGCTTCTTCCTCTTCTTGTAGCACTGTGCATAGCTTTAGGTCTACATACAAACTTATTTTATATCTATTAGTGTCTCTCTCTTCCTTGCTAGATTCTTAGCTCTTAAGGGGTAGAAATTCTTTTTTTTTTTTTATGTTGGTCTTGTATCCCCAGTTGATAGCAGAATTCTTGATGCATAATATATCAGCAATTTTTATTAGTTGGAAGGATGGATGGGTGGTAAGAAACCATGGATCTCAAATAAGGTTAATAAACCCTCTGCTTTTGCTCTATAGTTAATCAGCTCAAAGATTTGTTGCGCCAACAAGCAGATAAGGAAAGTGAAGTATCTCCGTCAAGAAGAAGAAAAATGTCCCCCTTGGTAAGTATCAACTTTTCCAAGTTGACAAAGCATTCCTGTGTTTTACTGTATTGTGTTATTTTGTAGTACATGTTGCAGAAAAAATTTAAGCATGGCATACTAATAGTGAAAAACATTAAAAGTAATTCTCTTCCCTCTGATTATTTTGGCTGAAAAAATAGATTTCCATGGCAGAGGGAATCTTGATTTTTTAAATTTATTATTCACTTGGAAAATGGGAGCAAGGGAATAGTTTGGAGAATTTATTTTGCAACTGTTAGCAAAATATGTAATATAAATATATAATATATAATAAATTAATATAATAAATTATATGTCAGAATATATGTAAAAGATAAAGTCATTATTTTAGTAATTTCTTTTTTAGAGGGTCATATCTATTATTGATCATTTTTAGAAGTTACTTAATTATAATTGTAGCCCTACTTTGTAATATTTTTTAAATTTTGAGTGTCAAAATAATACATTTTATTTTTAATTAATTAATTAATTTTTTTGAGACAGAGTCTCATTCTGTTGCTCAGGCTAGAGTGCAGTGGCATGATCTCGCCTCACTACAACCTCTGCCTCCCTGGTTCAAGCGATTCTCCTGCCTCAGCCTCCCTAGTATTTGGGTTTACAGATGTGCACTACCACACCAGGCTAATTTTTTGTATTTTTAGTAGAGATGGGGTTTCACCATATTGGCTAGGCTGGTCTCGAACTCTGAACCTCAGGAAATCCATCAGCCTCGGCCTCCCAAAGCACCGGGATTATAGGTGTGAGCCACCGCGCCTGGCCTCAAAATAATACGTTTTAATATGTAATGTTCTATATGTTAAAATATATGGTTATAAAATAGTATGATATATAAGAAGTGGTGCTGTATTTCTTCTGAAGTTGTTTGTTATTGCTTTGACAGAGTGTATTATTTCTGATTAAAGCATTTTATATGCTAAAGGCTGAGATAGATGTGAGTGAAAGCACTCTGGACCAGATTTAAGTGGACAAAATAATAGTCAAGGGCTTAGTTCTATCTAGGGTCTATCACATACTCTCTAAGATATTGTGCCTGTCTCACAGAGTTTTTGGAATAATGAGATAAGATTACATACTTAAAATTCTTTAGAAACCTATGAAGTGTTACATAAACATAACATGCATAGCAGCAAGTAACCACCTCACATTTTCAATGTGTTTTCTAGTTCAATACAATGCCTGTATGCTGAAAAGTGTGGAGACATGTCACTTTCTTTTCTTCACCACTGAAATATCAGAGTATCACTCCCATACGAACACTCCATTCCAGGCTGACACATACTTTTAAGCTTAATTCCTACTTTAGAGAAATGTACTTCATATGCATATTCTAAATTTATAGATACAGATTTTATAATTTTAGTAAAACATCTCATCATTTAATGAATTTATTACTATTGACATCTGGTTTCTAGCTTGCTCTTAAGCACAGACTGGTGGAATGCTTTTAAATCTACTAGATGAAGTTGCTTTATCTGTTGAATGCTCAGACATGCTTATTTGCCTTTTAAAGTCTGAGCAGTGATATTATGGAGCTTACTGAATCCAGACAGGCAGGAAGACCTTCACTAAGAGAATCAGTTTAGTACATACAGAGTGCACTTTAAAATACACAAGTCTATTTATATGGAGCTATGTAAAAGAATGGAACTTAGACTCTATATGTATACAGCCTACATGTAATAATTATAAACCATAATAGTAATAATTAGCTTTTTAAGATTATACCTTTAGAATGCACTTTCATAGCCAGTATAACATATTAGAAATACATGCATATATTGAGAGTAAAACTGAGGCACTGTTGAGATGGAAAAAAAGTTATTACTTATTGTCTTAAAATGTAGATATCTAAACTAAAGCCCTTCAAAGTAGACACAAATGATTTCATGTGAACATTTTTCATACAATATTGGCTTGAGCTTTTTATTTTTCACATTGACTTCCTCCTGTATACTCATAGTAGTAATTTATATTTGCCTATCTTCTGAACCTATTGCTATTAATGGAGGATGATTATAATTGTTTGATTTCTACTCAGGACAGATAATTCATTTAATTAGAGTTACTTTGGTTTTTAAATTTCTTAAATATACCAAAAAACCAAAGCTCTATTTTATTTTATTCTGCCATGATAGCTGGTACTTGATTATCATTTAAAATGTCTGCTGTGCTGAGAAAGAGAGTGGCTGAGAAACAGACACTGTGCCTCATTTCAAGCTTTCCTCTGGCTTTGTTTAACTGGTTGACCCTTGTTTTACCTTTTCCTGATTTCCTCATCCTTTAAAAAAAAAATTATGTGATGGGTATATGATTTTACAAACTATTTTAGGATAAGGTAAGCTATACATTAACAGTCAGTTCCAGGAATGCTACAGAGCTAAAATAGCATTAGCGTTTTTTTGAAATCTCTTCGTTGGACCCCTCAATGCAGTGTGTCTCTACTTTAGGGTTCTACTCTTGGAGGTTCTATGCTCCAGAACACCATACACTTGAATTGCCTTCAATACTAGAGCCAAAAATCAAAAACTACATTTTGCTAATGTATCTTTTTTGAGATGGAATTTCATCGCATTGACACTGGCTTGGCATCAAACGCTTCCTAAAGAATCTCTCCTTCACGGAGCTGCTGCAGTTTTAGCTAGCAAATCCTCTTCCATGGCAGTTTCTTGGAGAGAGTTGTCCCTTGTATCTCAGCATTACTGAATGGAATGTTGTTTTTCCAATTTGTTAAAATAGTTTATTCCAAGCCAGTTATACTACTGCTACCCCAGCATTTTTCCATTCACTATATGTGCTTTTTATAACCACTTTCACCATCCATCTTTAAAAAAAATGATATTCACATCCATGAATCTTGTGTATTTGTGGAATTTATAGGATAGAGAAGCAAGTATTTGTATTAGTCCATTCTCGTGTTGCTAAAAATAAATACCTGAGGCTGGGTAATTTATTTAAAAAAGAGGTTTAATCAGCTCATGGTTCTGCAGGCTGTATAGGAAGTGTGATACTGGCATCTCACTCTGGTGAGGGCCTCAGGAAACTTTCAGTCATGGTGGAAGGTGAAAGGGGAGCAGGCATTTCATGTGGTGAGAGCCAGAGCAAGAAGTGGGAGAGGTGTCACATTCTTTTAAACAACCAAATCTCACCAAAACTCAGAGCAAGAACTCATTATCATGAGGATAGCACCAAGATTCATTCATCATGACCGAAACACCTCCCACCAGGCCCCACCTCCAATGCTGGGGGCCACATTTCAACTTGAGGTTTGTGGGGGACAAGCATCCAAACTATATCAAGACTATAAGCTACATTGTGATCGATTCTATGTTTATATCACATCAGTGCAAAATTGAGTATGGAGAAGGTAACAACTGATTCTTTGCTAAATCCAAACATGCTTAATTTGGCTTTTTAAAATTTATGTATTTATGTATTTATTTATTTATTTTTTGTCATAGAGGTCATTAGAACATGAGGAAACCAATATGCCTACTATGCACGACCTTGTTCATACTATTAATGACCAGTCTCAATATATTCATCATTTAGAGGCAGAAGTTAAGTTCTGCAAGGTAAGTTTCTCATTAAGAATTTAAAACTAAATAAATGAAAGCTTATATTAACTATAGATTGTATTAAAATTTGCTGCTATAAATCTTCATGTTTGTAGCAATACATTGACAATTGCTATTCTTACGTGATTGAGAGACTGATGTGTCACAAGAGCTTGTCAGACTTGGGAATGATGCTCTTGACCATACCATTTCTGATTGCTTGATTTCCCAGTAGTTCATTACTATGTCTAATGATTTCATAATATGCTTTCATATTTCAGAAGTTTTCCTTCTCACCCCGCTTGCTGTAGCCCAGCAAATGGCAAATGCTTTGGAATACAAATACCAATCATTCTCCCATACTTGTCAACCTACTGGAGCAGTGGTACAGCAATCAGGGATTCTAAACTGGTAGACCAATTCTTCTCCGCTGTCAGTATTAAGGCTCTTACTTTGACTTTGAATGAGAATGGTTCATAGGGTACTGACAGTAATGATCAAGAAACCAAACACATCATATATAGCTTATGACACTAGAAGGTTATATGCTCAACTGCGTGCAGTTTGCTAATGTCATTAATGCTAATAGAGCCTTTTCATCTTCCCGAAGTATGTCGTGTTTTACTTTTTTTTTTCTGTTTCTTTCTCTCTTTCTTTCTTTCCCTCCCTCTTTCTTTCTTTCTAGTATCAGTGTATTCGATTGTATGATATTTTTATAGGAATCACTGATATCTCTTGTATCATGTTTTTATATATAGTATATGATATTATGTATTATATTGTTGACATTTTAAGATGCAAGGCCAGTATGTAACTTAAGGAGGCTTTAGATGTTTCACTGTCCTGATTTTACCGGGGAGTTTCTGATCTTAACATGTAATTTCCTGTTTGTTCTTGGAGGACACAGTTATTAATATACACGTGGTCCTGGATTACCAGTAAAGCTGAAATAATATCCTAGGAACTATTTCATTAACAATACTCTATTAATCCCTAAGATGTTGTGGATAAAACTTGAAAGATATAAAGCAGAATAAATTTACTATCTAGTTGAGAAGACAGAACTATTCCCTATTAACACCATAAGGAGCACATTAGAGAACATAGTATAGGCCTTTACTTTTTGGTATAAGCTATAATTATAATAAGAGAAGAAGGTTAGGAAAAGCTACTGTCTTTGGGAATGTTTCTATGGGAGAGAGAGATCTTGAACCAATGTTTTTTTTTTTTTTTTTTTTTTTTTTTTGATGGAGTCTCGCATTGTCGCCAGACTGGAGTGCGGTGTCACAGTCTCCGCTCACTGCAACCTCCGACTCCCTGGTTCAAGCTATTCTCCTGCCTCAGCCTCCCCAGTAGCTGGGATTACAGGCCTGCGCCACCACGCCCAGCTAATTTTTGTATTTTTTGTAGAGACGGGGTTTCACCATGTTGGCCAGCATGGTCTCGATCTCTTGACCTCGTGATCCGTCCGCCTTGGTCTCCCAAAGTGCTGGAATTACCGGTATGAGCCACGATGCCCGGCCTAAACCAGTCTTAAAGGAATAGGATCATTTAGATCAGCAGAAGGGAGATGAGTTTCATAAAGAGAATGGCAACAGTGAAACACAGTATTCAGGATGAATATGGTTTGTGGGGGCCATAAGCCATCTACTTTATCTTCCTGCAGTGGAGAATGTCTCATAGAAATAATGAAAGTAATCCTGAACTGGTAAAATGGAAGATTACGGAAGCCTTGACTGTCAGACAGAGTGTAAATTTGATACATTTTAGTAAGAGAAGAATAGAATTAAAATAATGTTTAAGTGGTTTAGAAAGATTTTGTTTATTTAGTTAATGGACTTTATTTTTTAGATCAGTTTTAGGTTTATAGAAAGGTTGAATGGCAAACACATAGAGTCCTGTATCCTCCTTTCAGTGACATCCCTCACCTAATAGTTTCCCTTGTTATTAACATCTTGCATCAGTGTGGCACATTTGTTACAACTGATGAACCACTATTGTTAAATTATTATTATCTAAGTCTCTCAGTTTGCATTAGCTTTGTGTTATACATTCTACGAATTTGACAAGTGTATAATGACATATATCCACCATTACAGTATCATATAGAATAGTTTCACTGTCTGAAACATCCTCTTGCGCTTCACTTATTCATCCCTCTTCCCCTCCGCCCCTTCCCTCCCATCCCCTGGCAACCATTGATCTTTTTACTCTCTCCATAGTTTTGACTTGCAGAATGTCATATACTTGGAATTATTCTGTATATAGCCTTTTCTGACTGGCCTATTATACTTAGTAATATGAATTCAAGTTTCCTCCTTGTCTTTTCATAACTTGATAGCTCATTTCTTTTTATTATTAAGTAGTATTCAATTAGATGAATATACCATAGCTTTTTTATCTGTGCACCTATGGGAGGGCATCTTTGTTGCTTCCAAGTTTTGGCAATTGCGAATAAAGCTACTGTAAGCATTTGTGTGTCAGTTTTTGTGTGGACATCTGTTTTTACCTCTTTAAAGTAAATACCAAGAAGCTCAATTTCTGCATCATATGGTAAGACTAATTTTAACTTTGCAAGAAATTGCCTAACTTTTCTAAAGTGGTTGTACCGTTATGCATTATGCAGTAAATGAGAGTTCCTAATACTCCATATCCTCATTAGCATTTGGTGTTGTCAGTGTTTTAGATTTTAGCTGTTCTAATAGATGTGTAGTGGAACCTCATTGCTGTTTTAATTTCAATTCCCTGATCACAAATGATGCTGAGCATCTTTTCCTATGCCTATATTCCACCTATGTAACATCTTTGAGTGAGGTGTCTGTTCAGGTCGTTCACCCATTTTTAAAATCAGGTTATTCGTTTTCTTAGTGTTGAGTTTCAACAATTCTTTCTGTATTTTGGATGCCAGTCCTTTATCAGATATGTCTTTTTCAAGTATTTTCTCCCAGTCTTTGACTTGGCATTTACTTCTCTTAACAGTATCTTTCAATGAGCAGAAATTTTTAATTTTAATGAAGTTTAACTTACCAATTTTTTTCTTTCATAGATTGTACTTTTAACTTTGTGTTTAAAAATTTATTACCAAATCCAGGTTCACTATATTTTCTCCTTTCTTCTTCTAGTATTTTATAATTGTTTATTTTACATTTAGATCATGTTTGAAGGATAGTTGTCCATATTTTTGGGTCTATTTCTGGGCTTTCCTGTTCCATTGATTAACTTGTCAATTCTTTGGCCACTATCACTCTATCTTGATTACTGTAGCTTTACATTAAGTCTTGAAGTTGGGTAATATCAGTACTCTAATTTTGTTCTTTTTCAATATTGTGATGAGTATTCTGGGACTTTTGCATCTCCCTGTAAACTTTAGAATCAGTTTGTCGATATCCACAAAATAGGATTTGGATTGGAATTGTGTTGGATCTATTGATCAAGTTGGGAATAACTGGCATTTTGATACTATTGAGTATCCCTATCCATGAACATGGAATATCTCTATTTACTTAGATCTTCTTTGATTTCTTTAATCAGTGTTGTGGTTTTCCTCAAATAGATCTTCTACAAATTTTGTGAGATTTATACCTATTTCATTTTATTTTTGAGGTGGAGTCTCGCTCTGTCACCCAGGCTGGAGTGCAATGTTGCAGTCTTAGCTCACTACATCCTCCGCCTCCCGGGTTCAAACAATTCTTCTGCCTCAGCCTCCCGAATAGCTGGGACTACAGGTGTGTGCCACCACACCTGGCTAATTTTTGTATTTTTAATAGAGATGGGGTTTCACTATGTTGGCCAGGCTGCTCTCGAACTCCTGAACTCGTGATCCACCCGCCTCGGTCTCCCAAAGTGCTGGGATTACAGGCATGAGCCACTGTGCCCAGCCACCTATTTTATTTTTTAGTGTAATGGTATTATGTATTTAATTTCAAATTCCAATTATTTATTGCTAATATAGAAGAAAACAATTGACTTTGTATATTGACCTTGTATTCTGCAACCTTGGTATAAGTCACTTATTAGTTCCAGCATTTTTTGTTGATTCTTTGGGATTTTCCTCATTGACAAGCATATTGTCTGCAAACGAAAGACAGTGTTATTTTCTCCTTTCCAATATATTTAGATTTTGTGTTTTTTAAATTTTTCATTTATTTTAATTAATTTTCTTGAGGAAGGGTCTTGCTGGAGTGCACAGGCTGGAGTGCAGTGGCATAATCATGGCTCACTGTAGCCTTGACATCCTGGGCGCAAGTGATCCTCCTACCACAGCCTCCCTAGTAGCTGGGACCACAGGTGCACACCACCATGCTTGGCTATTTTATTATTATTATTATTATTTGTAGAATTGAGGTCTCATCATGTTGCCCAGGCTGGTCTTGAACTCCTGGGCTCAAACAGTCCTCCTGCCTGGGCTTCCCAAGGTGTTGAGATTACAGGCTTTAGCAAATGTGCCCAGCCAGATTTTATTTTTTTAATTGTCTTATTGCATTAGCTAAGACTTTTTGGAATGATGTTGAATGGTTGTGAGAGGGGCCATCTTTGCCTTGTTCCTGATCTTAGTGGGAAACTACTTTCCTACCATAAAGTATATTAGCTATAGGTTATTTGTAGATGTTCTTTATCAAGTTGAGAATGTTTCCTCTATTCCTAGTTACTGAGAGTACAGATGCCTCTCGACTTAAAATGGGATTGCGTCCTGATAAACTCGTTGTAAGTTGAAAATGCATTGAATATACTATAGATTATTGGTTGTTTACCTCTGTGATTGCATGGCTAACTGGGAGCTACAGCTCACTGCCACTGCTGCTGCCCAGCATCATGAGAGAATATTATACTACATATTGCTAGCTTGAGAAAATAACAAAATTTGAAACTTGAATTATGGTTTCTACTGAATGCATATTGCTTTTGCAGCATAATAACGTCAAAAAAATCATAAGTCAAACCATCACAAGTCAGGGACCATCTGTGTTTATCATAGATGGCTGCCGCATTTTGTCAAAAGCTTTTCCTGCCTCTACTGTTAAAATTATGATTTTTCTTCTCAACATTGTTGATATGATGGATTACATTAACTGATCCTCAAATGTCGAACCAATGTTGTGTAATTAGAATAAATCTTACTTTATCCTGGTGTATAATTCTTTTTTACATTGTTGGATTTGATTTGCTAGTATTTTATTGAGGATTTTTTCATCTATGTTCATTAGACATATTGATCTGTAATTTTCCACTCTTGTAATGTTTTCACTTGGTTCGGGTATTAGGTTAATGCTGGCCTCATAAAATGAGTTAGGAAATACTTCCTCTTGAATTTTATGAAATATATTATAGATAATTGGTATAATTTCTTTCTTAAATATTTGATAGAATTCACTAGTGAACTTACCTGGGCCTGGTGCTTTCTGTTTTGAAAGGTTGCTAATTATTGATTTAATTTTCTTGATAAATATAGGTTTATTCAGATTATCTATTCCTCCCTCTGTGAGTTTTCATGGATTGTGTCTTACAAAGAATTGGTGCATTTCATCTAGGTGACTAAATTCATGATCATGGAGTTGTTCATAGTATTTCTTTGTTATCCTGTTTTTTAAACATTTCTTTATTATCCTTTTAATGTTCATGGGATCAGTAGTGATAGCCCCATTTTCACTTCTGATCTTAGTATATGATAGAATCTAATTGATATTTTCTCTTTTTTTCTTAACCTGTATATAGTCTTATCAATTTTATTCATCTTTTCAAAGACCCAACTTTTGGTTTTGTTGTTTTTCTCTGTTGATTTTCTATTTTTAATTTCATTGATTTTTACTCTAATTTTTATTATATGTTCTTTTCTGCTTACTCTGGAATTAATTTGCTATTGGTTTTGCAACTTCTAAAGTAGAAGCTTAGATTATTTATTTGAAATCTTTCTTCTTTTCTAATTTTTTTACACTCCTTTTGCTGCATCCTTTTAATAAGTATATAGCTTTTTATCAGTTGTATTTTAATTTTTACTTAGTTGAAAATATTTCTAAATGGCTCTTGATACTTCTTTGATTCATGTGTGTCATTTAGAAGAGTGTTGTGTCATCATCAAGTATTTGGGGAGTTTCCCAGCTATCGTTCTGTTATTGATTTCTGGTTTAATTCCATTGTTGTCTGACAGCATACTTTCCTATTCTTTTAAATTTGTTAAGGTTTGTACATTGTAGTCTGTCTTGGTGAATGTTCTGTGTGAGCCTGAAGAAAACGTGTGTACTGCTGTTCTTGGATGAAGTAGTCTATAAATGTCAGTTAGATCCAGTTGATTGATGCTGTTGTTCATTTCAATTGTGCCCTTTGTGATTTTTATAATTTTTGACAGGGGATGTTGAAATTTCCAACTGTAATAGTGGATTCATGTGTTTTCCTTTGCCTCATACATTTTGATACACTTTTATTAGGCACATATACATTAAGACTTGTAACGTCTTCTTGGTGAATGGACCTCTTTATCATCATGTAATGTACCTCTTTATCTCTGATCATTTTCATTGGTCTGAAGTCTGCTTTGTCTAAAATTCATATTGCTACTCCAACTTTCTATTGATTAGTGTTAACATGATACATCTTTCTTCATTTATTTTAAATCTATCTGTGTCTTCGTATTTATAATTGGCTTTTTTTTTTGTTTTGAGATTTCTTTTTTTTTTTTTTTGGTTAGAGATGGGGTCTCACTATATTGCTCAGGCTGGTCTTGAACTCCTGGGCTCAAGGGATCCTCCCATCTCAGCCTCCCAAGTAACTGGGATTACAGATATGAGCCACCTTGCCCAGTTATTATAGGCTTCTTGTAGACAACATATAGTTTATTGTTCTTTTTTTTAACCATTCTGACAGTCTCTATCTTTTAGTTGGTATATTCAGACCATTATATTTAAAGAGATTATTGTTATGATTGGATCAATGTATAACACATTTGTTACTATTATCTTCATTGTCTTTATTTTTTGTTTCTTTAAAAAAAATTCACTCTTTTTCTGCCTTCTCTGGCTTTTTTTTTTTTTTTTTTAGAGATAGAGTCTTGCCCTGTTACCTAGGCAGTGACGTAATCAAAGCTCACTACAGCCTAGAACTCCTGGGCTCAAGCAGTCCTCCTACCGCCTCCCTGCTGAGTAGCTAGGACTACAGACATGCACCACTATGCCTGGCTAATTTTTATGTTTTTTTACAGAGATGGGGTCTCACTATGTTGCCCAGGCTGGTGGCGAACTCCTGGCCCCAAGTGATCCTCCCACCTCAGCCTTCCAAAGTGCTGGGCTTACGAGGTGTGAGCCACTGCACCTGTCCCTTTTGTGGCTTTGATTGAGCATTTTATATGATTGCATTTTATTTTTTATTTTTGGAGACAGAGTCTCTCTCAGTCGCCCAGGCTGTAGTGCAGTGACTCCATCTTGGCCCACTGCAACCTCTGCCTCCTGGGTTCAATCAATTCTCATGCCTCAGCCTTCCTAGTAGCTAGGACTACAGGTGAGCCACCACAACCAGCTAATTTTTGTATGATTGCATTTTTTTCCAATTCACATATCAATTGATCAATTGTACTTCTTTTTTTTTTTCTTTGCTGGTAGCCGTTGATTGATGCTGTTGTTATTTGCAGTAAATATTTATAACTAACTTAAGTTTACTTTCAAGTAAACCTATGCCACTTCTTGAATAGTATAAATTGCTTATAACAGAATTCCCAAGCCCTCTCTCATCCTTTATAACATTTCTGCCATTAACTTCAGTTATTCATAAACTAAAATTACTACAAACACTATTGCAATTATGATGTTGAACACAAAGTGTCATCTGTCAAATTAATAAGAAAATATTTTATCTTATATCCACTTATTCCTTCTTTAATACTCTTTTTTTCTTTATGTAGATGGCAGTTTCTGACTTTATCACCTTTTCTCCTTTCTGAAGAACTTTTTTAAACATTTCTTGCAAGGCATATATGCTAGCAATAAATTCCATCAATTCTTGTTTGTCTAAGAAAATATTTTTCTTTCTCTTTTGAAGGTTAATCTTGCTGAATCCAGAATTCTAGGTTGGTGGGTTTTTTCTTTTAACACTTTAAAAATTAGATTCATTTTATTCTCTTCCTGTTTGCACGGCTTCTGCAAAGTACTCCCAGGTAATTCTTATCCTTGCTTCTTTGTAGGTAAGGTTTTTGTTTTTTTGTTTGTTTGATTTTTGTTTTTTAATTATTATTATTTATTTGAGACTGAGTCTCGCTCTATAGCACAGGCTGGAGTGCAGTGGCGAGGTCTTGGCTCACTGCAACCTCTGCCTCCTGGGTTCAAGCAATTCTCATGCCTCAGCCTCCCGAGTAGCTGGGATTACAGGTGCCTGCCACCACACCTGGCTAATTTTTGTATTTTTAGTAGAGACAGGGTTTCACCATGTTAGCCAGGCTGGTTTTGAACTCCTGACCCTCACATGATCCGCCTGCCTCGGCCTTCCAAAGTGCTGGGATTACAGGCATGAGCCACCGCACCCGGCCTGATTTTTGGGTTTTCTTTGTTTGTTTGTTTACTTTGGCTTATTTTAAGATTTTTCTCTTTGTCTTTGATTTTCTGCAGTATCAATATGATATTCCTCAGTGTATTTTTGGGGGGTATTTATCCTGCTTGGTGTTCGGTGAGCTTCCTAGATCTGTGGTTTGGTGCCTGTCATTAATTCAGGAAATTTTTCAGTCATTATTGACTGAAATGTTTCTTCTTTTCCTTTCTTTCCTTTTTTGTGTCCCTGTTTATTTATATATATATATATACATGTATATATATATATTTATTACACAATTTGTAATTGTACTGCAGTTCTTGTATAATTTTTCTGTCTTCAGTTTTTTTCCTTATTGCACTTCTTTTTTGGAAATTCTTATTGACAATTCTTAAAGTTTACTAATGCATTCCTCAGCTATATCCAGTCTACTGATGAGCCTTTCAAAGGCACTCTTCATGTCTGTTAATAGTTTTTTATTTTGAGCATTTTCTTTTCATAGAGTTTTCATCTCTCTGCTTATATTACCCCGCTGTTCTTGCATATAGTCTATTTTTTCTATTAGAGACCTTAACATAGTAATCATAATTATTTTATTTATTTATTTATTTTGAGACGGAGTCTCACTCTGTTGCCCAGGCTCAAGTGCAGTGGCGTGATCTTGGCTCACTGCAACCTCTGCCTCCTGGGTTCAAGTGATTCTCCTGCCTCAGCCTCCCGAGTGGCTGGGATAACAGGCATGCACCACCACCCCCGGCTAGTTTTTTTTGCATTTTTAGTAGAGATGGGGTTTCACTATGTTGGTCAGGCTGGTCTCGAACTCCTGACCTCAGGTGATCCTCCCACCTTGGCCTCCCAAAGTGCTGGGATTACAGGTGTGAGCCACCGTGCCTGGCCTTAATCATAATTATTTTAAATTCCTGGTCTGATAATTTTAACATCTTTGCCTTATCTCAGACTGTTTCTGATGCTTGTTAAATCTTTTCAAACTGTGTTTCAGTCTTTTAGCATGTCTTGTAATTGTTTGATGAATGCTGGACATGACATATTTGGTAAAAGGAACTGAGGTAAGTAGGCCTTTAGCATGAGCTTTTATGTTTATCTGGCTGGAAGCTAGGCTGTGTTTGCTGTCACCGTACATGTCAGAGGCTAAAATTTCCTTCAGTGTCCTGGTCTTGTCTCTTCTGTTGTCTATGGATTACCCTAGTGAGTTCTTCCTAAATATAGTCTGAGATATGCAGTTCTTTCTGTTGAATTTCTCTGTCAGTATACGGGAGCCATAGTGATGTGGTCGTTAGATGTGGGAGTAGAGGGAAGCGTTCAATAGTCCTATGACTAGATCTAAGTCTTTTAGTAAAGCCTTTGCCTTGGGCTGTGACGTTCACAAGTGCTTCTCAGTCTCCCCTGCCCTTTAAGTTAGACGAGATAGCTAGAGGAAGCCGGAGGCCCCCTCTCCCACACGGAATGCAAGAGGGGGCTGGAGCTGGATTTCTCTTTTTTTAGGCCGGTTAGGTGGCAGCAGCCCTCCAGTCAGTTAGGCTCTGGTAAAGTCGTTTCCCTTGAGGCAGGCCTGTTACAAGGAATGCAACATGCCAAGCATATTTCAAACTGGCTGCTTTTCTTCTTCCTTTAGGTTGCATAAGGGGATTTTTTTCTAGTTTTTACTGTGAAAACCTGGTAGTGTCCTGGAGATAAAATTGGGGAAGTGGGGCAGTCCTTCTATGACTGGGTCTTCCTGGAATTTTTTTTTTTTTGAGACGGAGTCTCGCTCTGTCACCCAGGCTGGAGTGCAGTGGCGTGATCTTGGCTCACTGAAACCTTGGCCTCCCAGGTTCAAGCCATTCTCCTACCTCAGCCTCCTGAGTAGCTGGGACTACAGGCGTGTGCCATCACACCTGGCTAATTTTTGTATTTTTAGTAGAGATGGGGTTTCACCGTATTGGCCAGGCTGGTCTTGAACCCCTGACCTCATGATCTGCCCACCTCAGCCTCAAAATGCTGGGATTACAGGCGTGAGCCACCGCGCCCGGTCTGGAATTTTTAACTCTCAAACTTGCTGACACTGAGCTTCCAGCAAGTCATCAATTATGATTTAGATTTTCTACCTCCTACAGAGGTTTCTGATTTCCTCCTGTAAATTCTGTGTCTCAGCGTCCACCCATCTCTTCAGTTTTGGGGCAGCAGTTTTCCCTATGACTTCATTTCTCTGATGGATCTAAGAAGAGTTGTTGATTTTCAGTTTGTTCAACATTTTTCCTGTTGGGAAGATGGGAGTGAGGTGTTCCAAGCTCATTACATTCCAGACTGAAAATTCAAAGTCCACAATATTTTTTAAATTACAGCTTTTTATTATAGCTTTGGGTTTTTAAAAAATAATAATTGAGAGGAATTTTCACATGTTGTACAATAGCTTTTGATTGCACTAGTAGTGAATATTAGGTTAAGTATTATATGATTGATATGTTGATATTATTGAAACGTTTTTCCAGAGACTGAGGTGCCACTCAATAGCTATTCTAATGATTGTTGACCTGTAATTTCTTATGTTACATCCTGTAATTTTAATTGTTATTGATTTGTAATTCTTTATATTACACCCTGTGAGGCCAAGGAAATACTCTTTCACAATTCTCCATGAAATGTTTTACTACAATTCTCTCTTATTTGGCTACCATTTCATAGATAATCATCACTCCCGTCTATGCCTTTCTATCTCAGAGCCTCCCTCTATTTAATCTTCCATCAGTTTTTAACAAGTTGATGGTATTTGATCATGAGTAATAATATATCTTATTTTTCAGAATCTACTCCATTCTTTAAAATCTCTTGGATAACCCTTTTAATTAAGGCTTTTCTTTGAGCCTCGATTCCTTGGAGAAAAGGAAATTGTCAGAAACGACACACTTCTGTGATATGCCACCAGCAGGCCCATTACTATATACCCCAGCCTTCTCTTTGTTATCTAGCTAATGTTAGGCTGCCTTGTTTGTCTAAACATATAATTATATTTCAGGAAAAGGAGAACATAAGTCTTCCGTACTTTATATCATGCTGTGCCCTCTAATAATCAACAAATAAAAACACTGCTTAATAATGCTTAATGTGTTTGGTTTTGTTTATTATAGGAGGAACTCTCTGGAATGAAAAATAAAATACAAGTAGTTGTGCTTGAAAACGAAGGGCTCCAGCAACAGCTAAAATCTCAAAGACAAGAGGAGACACTGAGGGAACAAACACTTCTGGATGCATCCGTGAGCATTATTTTAAATCATAAATTTTATTTTAGTGTGAATATTCCCTTCTGCCCTCTCTCCTCGCCTTCTTCGCTGCTTAGATTTTCTCCCTGAAGTGTGGCCAAAGTACTATGTTGGTATTTGTTTGAGACCTCAAATATCAAACTTCACTGTGGTGGAATGAATCCTCAGATGAAACGATCTTGTGATATTTTGCTACAGTTTCCTCTCTGAGCATACCGTTTCTGCCTTACCATATGGAAAGAGCCGGTCTGAAAGCAGGAAGTGTGTTATACAGGAAGGACTTTGCTAAGTCTAGAAACCGTTCAGAACTTTAACTTAGATTTCTGTTGGATTTCTCTAAATTTTCCTTGAGGTCTGAAATCTAATAAGTCTAATTAGCTGCATGATGTAGCAGAAAAAATGTTGGCCTTAGGATCCAAGAATCAAAATGTTAGTCTTCCCATTTCCCTAAGAAGGCTGGTGTTTAGCAAGTAATTTTAGAAGGTTTTACATAGCTTAATCACGTATGTCCTTTATTTCTTTATTGGTAATTTGAGAAGATTAACCTATACCAGGAGTTTTCAGTGCAAATTCCTGGACTCCATCCCCTGTGAGTCTGATTCACTTGGTCTGGTTGGCTTCTAGGAATCTAAACTTTCATCAAGTTGCCTAAGTGATTCTAATGTCAGTGGCCCAGAGTTTGAAGAACGTTGGGTCAGATTATCTCTATAATTCTGTGACAGAGAATTATTGTGGTGACATTTAAATAGTGCTTAAATCTTATGACTTATCAGAGTACTTTTGTCTTAAACTTTTTGTAACTGTTTTGCTATAAGATATAGTCACAGCTTGTTCTGCTTTTTGGGACAAATTCAACTTTCCATGTGGAAGTTTTCATACTTGCCTATTCCAGCTTCACTTTGCAGTTTACTTTGGTGGTTTTGACTTTGTCGTCATTAGTAAATCAGCTGTTAAGAAAACATGAAAGTCTTGATGTTTCATTGGGATATCCTCTAATTTTCGTTTTTGAAGTTTTTTTTTTTTTTAACTTGAATTGATAGTTGGTTTATAATCCTGGAGTTGTATATGTTAGGGTTTGCTATTGAGAAGTATAGGAGTGTATTAACTCTGATAAATGAAGTGGGCTAATTAGTATTTCAGTTTAATTTTCTGCAATTGCATTTAAGTTTGTGATCAGTTCTTTTCTCCTCACTGTATAACTTTTTCCTGAAGATTTGTATAATTATTAGTGGTAAAAACTCCATCTTAGTTGCTTATGATTTTAATGTCAATTTGAGGAAGATATCACCATATAGAAAATACTTAGAAGTAGCTTATTTTAAAAATATTCATTTGCTTTTCTTCCAAACACGTGGTCACTTAGCAAGCAGTGATTCAATTATTCATAGTCCTCAGTATTTATGTAATGCCAAAGAAGTGGAAGAAGGGGAAGTGAAGTGAGAAAGGAAATTAGGCAGACAAGTGAATCAGAGGGCAAGAGAAATGAGTAATGCAAAAGGGGAAGGAAATGATGGTCAGAGCACACATGCCTTGCAGCATGAGCAAAGAAAATGTGCTAAACAAAACTACAGTCAGAATCATAGAAAGGATAAGGTTTTAGAGAGGTTTTGTTGTTTTTTAAACATTCATGTGAGCTAAATATAATGCAGGTATTGAAATGATTACTGCAGATATGCCAGATGACCTTGATATCTATTTTAATGTTAATCTTCTGTTATTTGTTGTTGTTGAATTGTTACCCCCACGTTTTACCTGTGTAAGTGAATTGAAATATTTCAAGGCCAGATACAGTGTCTTACGCATGTAATTTCAGCAGTTTGGAAGGATGATCACACGAACGGATGGATCACTTGAGCCCAAGAGTTCCAGACAAGCCTGGGCAACATAGTGAGACCCCATCTCTCTAAAAATAAAAAAAAAATTAGCCGAGCATGCTGATGTACACCTGTGGTCCCAACTACTTTGGAGACTGAGGTCAGAGGATCCCAGGAGGTCAAGGCTGCAGTAAGCCCTGATCACGCCACTGCACTCCAGCCTGGGCAACAGAGTGAGACCTTGCCTCAATAAAAACAAGACAAACAAAAAACCAGACATTTCAATAATACATGCATGGTGCTGTGTTACAAGTTGTAACATGAATAAAAATGTTTAGGATATCTTAAATATAAAAAATCAAGAAATATCTTCTTTTGGGGGGAAGGGGTTTTTGTAATGAGTCAATTAAAATGTTGGTGCTAAATCTTCCCTTGCTATATTGAAGTTTGCTGATTTCAATATAGATTTTCAGTGTTTCATAATGCCTTTTAAGAAAGATAATTGAGGTGGCCAGGCGCAGTGGCTCACGCCTGTAATCCCAACACTTTGGGAGACCAAGGTGGGTGGATCACGAGGTCAGGAAATAGAGACCATCCTGGCTAACATGGTGAAACCCAACTCTACTAAAAATACAAAAAATTAGCCGGGCGTGGTGGTGGGCACCTGTAGTCCCAGCTACTTGGGAGGCTGAGGCAGGAGAATGGTGTGAACCCAGGAGGCAGAGCTTGCAGTGAGCTGAGACTGCGCCACTGCACTCTGGCCTGGGCGACAGAGCAAGACTCCATCTCAAAAAAAAAAAAAAAAGATAATTGAAACATTTATATGGTGTATTAGGTTCTCTCAAAGGACAGAACTAATATGATATAATATATATATATGAAGGGGGTTTATTAAGTAGTATTAACTTATTAACTGACACAATCACAAGGT
Source organism: Homo sapiens (assembly GCF_000001405.40). Classification (NCBI taxonomy): domain Eukaryota; kingdom Metazoa; phylum Chordata; class Mammalia; order Primates; family Hominidae; genus Homo; species Homo sapiens. The sequence goes on from NC_000001.11 coordinate 243,289,149, forward strand.
CCCACAACAGGCCATCTGCAAGCTGAGGAGCAAGGAAGCCAGTCTGAGTCCCAAAGCTGAAGAACCCGCTGTCTGAGGTACAAGAACAGGAAGCATCTAGCACAGGAGAAAGATGTAGGCTGGGAGGCTAAGCCAGTCTAACCTTTTCATGTTTTTCTGCCTGCTTTATATTCGCTGGCAGCTGATTAGATGGTGCCCACCCAGATTAAGGGTGGGTCTGCCTTCCCCAGCCCACTGACTCAAATGTTAATCTCTTTTAGCAACATCCTCACAGACACACCCAGGATCAATCCTTTGCATCCTTCAATCCAGTTAAGTTGACACTCAGTATTAACCATCTCATATAGTAATAACTAACATTTATTGATGACTACATGGTTATAATGTGCGAGGCACTGTGTCAAACTATTTACGTTATATTACTTCAGATTTGCAGTACCCACACAAGGCAGGTGTTATTATCTCTGTTTTCAGAGGAGTAAATTAAGGTACACAGCTGTTAAGTAACCTAAGTAATTGGCCTAATGTCACAGAGCTAGATAATGGCAAAGCAAGGATTCAAACCCAGGACTATCTAATTCTCTAAATACACCCCGTAGAACCTTAAATTATACCGCCTTTCTGCATAAGTTAGGAAGAGCTTGTCGACATTGAACCAAACCATCTTTGTTTGCAGAGGATAGAAGTTTTCCCTGGCAGAAAAGAGAAGAATCTCCTTTTTATTGTCTCCTGCTTGTAGCCCTGGACTTTGATGGTAGCCTGTAAGACTTTCAACTTTTGGTCTAGTTTATGACCTAGAAGTTAAAGAAGCAAGCCATTCAAAGTATATTTCATTCCTGTCCTGATTTTTCATCACTTTGCCTTCTCATAAAATATTTCCTCATGGAAAGCTTTTCTCTAGAGTTCACAAAATCAAAATAATACGAAAACATGTTATTTATTCAACATTTTGTCATGTGTCCTTCTTTAAAGATCCAGGAGTTTTTTCTTAAGGAGAAAATTTCTCGGCCAATATTTTTCACGTTTGTTTTCATCCCCTGTCTTACCACCGCTCCCGCCCCCCGATCCCCTGCCACCCAATTAAGAAATCAAAGGTTTTGAATGATCTTCAAGGATTTAACATACTTAGGTTTTTAAAAACATCTTGGTTAAGTAGCATTCAAGTTTTTTAAAACTATCTGTGAAAGAACAAAATGTCCGTTAGACTAGCAATTCTTTCCAAAGAATGATAATATTTTATATCATAAGTTAGTGATCTGTGGTCTACATGCTCCCTCCAATTTCTCCATAGAAAATTAGTACCACCCTCCTTCATTGATCTCAAAAACAACTTTAAATGCAATCATATCTTAGGGGATTTGACTCTACCGAGAGAATCAAGTGCAGACTCATTCCATGGTGTGGTATACTCTCAAGTCCCTTACTTGATTCTTTAGCTTCATCTTCTGACATTCATCACCTTATGTTTTGACGTCTAGTAATGCTGAATTTTCTGAGACCCCCCTGCAGGCACCATGCTATTCCATACCTCTGTGATGTTTATCATGAGGTTCTCTCTTCTTCGAATGCCCTTTCCATCTAGCTTACCCTTACTTATCCTTCAAGATACCACACCAGTGTCAATTTTTTTCTGGAAAACCTTCCTTGGATTTCTGGGTGCCCTTAGTATCCCTCCTGTGTTTTGGCAGAGGCCCCTGTGCACACCTTTGGCCTAGCACTCACATTATTAAATTGAAATTACCTGCCTAGGTGTGTGTCTCCCTTATTAGACTGTAAACTCCTTGGAGCTAAGATTGATCTTGCTCATTTTTGTCCTCCAAGCTCTTAGCACAGTGTCTGAACACCATAGGTGTTACACAAATGTTTGCACTAAACTGAACTTCCAGAAGAATATAAAATAGACTGTCAGAGTACTACTTTAGGTGAATGTAGTTTACCACGTTCGAGCATGATGCGACACTGCAGTATGGGTCAGTGTCTGGGGACCTGTCCTGTCTTGTGACTACTACCATATCCTTTGGCCCTTAGCAAGTGCTCAATAATTATTTGTTGAATTAAATTAATATACGTATTTTAATCCTTCTTGTACACATAAATTCCCCAGATCATTGGGCTGCTTACTACATTGAATGTTGAGAGGGTGACAGAGGTTGCAACTAACAATGGGTACACTAAATTCAACTCAGGCATGTTTGGTTTGTTTGATAAATTTTGAGCCAGTGTTTAATAGTGTTTCACATGAAGGACCAGATATCTGGTAATATGAATTTTCACTGCCACATGGCAGTGATTGACTGGAATTGAGTAGTGGCTGCTTCCTTTGGATGGTACACATTTCTGTGGTTTGTCACAGAGCCTACTCTTCTTCCTTTTTGAATCCCTGGCATGCAGGCTGCATGTCAACTCTGTTTATCACCATACATGCACTGTTTCTTTTTACTGAAGATAAATATTTTTCTGGAAAGGCAGAAGATCGTAATAATAAAGGACTTTAAAGGAAAAAACTGTTCCTTTTTCTCATAATGCTTCTGACACCAAATGTTTGGGTTTGTTTTCTCCTACACCTGGCCATTCTCTGTTTCTCTGTAGATACCAACTAGGTGTCCAGTGATTCAATTCAATTCTGACACTCACTACACAGTATCAGACCCACAGGTTAAGGGCTCAGTACCACATGACTGCCTGCTACTTTAGATACCAACTGCAAATAGTAGGTCTCTTGGTTATCCACAATTCTGTCTGATTTGTCTGTAAATTGGGGATTCCTACAATCCCTTCCTAATGTGTGATAATTTGCTATAATGGCTCACAAAATTCAGGGAAACACTTTGCTTGCTATTACTGGTTTATTATTATATAAAGGATATAAATGAACAGCCAACTGAAAAGGCACGTAGGGCAGGGTCCAGGCTGGTCCCAAGTAGAAGAGCTTCTGTCTGTGGAGTTTGGGTACACCACCCTCTTGGCATGTGGATGCATTCGCCAACCCAGAAATTCTCTGAACTTCATCATATAGGATTTTTATGGAGGTTTTATTACATAGGCATGATTGGTTAAATCAATGGCTGTTGGCGATTAAGTCAATCTCCAGTCCTTTCCCCCCTTGAGGTGGGGGAGTGGGGCTGTAAGTTCTAGTCTTCTAATCATGGACTGCAGCCACCAGTCATCTTATTAGCATACGAAAGGATACTCTTATCACCATGGAGATCCTAAGGGTCTTAGAAGCACTTGTGTCAGAAACCCGGGACTAAGACCAAATATTTTAACGAAAGATGCTCCTATCACCCATGTCACTCAGGAAATTACAGGGTTTTAGGAATTCTGTGTCAGGAACCAGGGACAGAGACCACATATATATTTGGATTCAGATTGACAGGTTTCAGATTCTAGTGCTGCCACTTATTAGCCACTTCCTACCTCTGTGACCCTCAGCTACTCTATGTGACTCAGTTTCCTCCTGTATAAAATGGAGGCAACAATGAAACCTATCTATCCCATAGAACTGTAATGATTAAATGAGTTAATATATATGACATACATAAAACAGGGTCTGGAACATAGAAAGCAGCATTTTGATAAAAATTATTATTAGCCATGCATTTATGAAACATGGAACATGAAAGACAAACTAAGAGAGAGGTGTGTGCTTCAAGAGTATATGTCTTCAGAGGAGTAAAGAATAATTCCATTTGTTGAATGCGCTGAAATCTAGCCCTCTTTGCCCATATTTAGATTACTGCCTGTACCTGAAGGAATTTTACTTTGCAACACTTGTAGAATATGACCCTAATAGCCTGAAAATGTGAAGTGATTCTTGACCTGTAGTGTAGAAGCATATGCTTTTTCTTTTCATCATAGGTAAGAATAGGTATTTTATTTGTAAAATATGCATGTTTATTTAAAGTTGAATTCAGTTGCAGTTACTGGCACATTTTATTTTAGGGAAACATGCACAATTCTTGGATTACAACAGGTGAAGATTCTGGGGTGGGCGAAACCTCCAAAAGACCATTTTCCCATGACAATGCAGATTTTGGCAAAGCTGCATCTGCTGGTGAGCAGCTAGAACTGGTGAGTATTTGGGTGCTTTTCTCTTATACATCTTTTTTTTCTTTTTCTCTTTTGTACTTTTTTAAAATTCTGGTAAAATATATATAACAAAATTTACCATTATAACCATTTTTAAGCGTACAGTTTATCTGCATTAAGTACATTCATGTCACTCAATCATAAACATTATCCATTTTCAGAACTTTTTGATCATCTCAAACAAAAAGTCTGGACGTATTAAACAATATCTCCATTCCCCTCCCTGCCAACCCCTGATGACCTCTCTTCAACTTTCGGTCTGTATAAATTTGCCTATTTCAGATACTTGACATAAGTGGAATTAAACAATACTTGTCCTTTTGTGTCTGGCTTATTTCCCTTAGCATAATATTTTCAAGGTTCATTTTGTTGTAGCATGTGTCAAAATTTCAAGACTGAATAATGTTCCATTGTATGTATGTTACCAAACTTTATCCATTCATCTATTGACTGATATTGGGGTTGTTTCTATCTTTTGACTGTTATGAATAATTATGCTGTGAACATTGGCATATGAGAATCTGTTTGAATCCCTGTTTCAATTATTTTAAGTATATACCCAGAAATAGACTTATTGGATCATATGGTAATTCTTCATTCTTTTTTCTTTCTGCTCCTCAGACTTGATCATTTTAATTGTCGTTTCTTAAAGTTCATCAATTCGTTTTTCTACCTGCTCAAATCTGCTCTTGAATACCTTTAATAAATTTTTTATTTCAGTTATTATACTTTTTAGCTCCAGAATTTCTGTTTGGTTCCTTTTTATAATGTGTTTTCCTGATTTTCTTTAGTTCTTTGTCCATGTTTGTCTCTTGGCTCTTTGAGTGTGTTTAACACAGTCATTTTAAAGTCTTTCCCCAGTAAGTCTGATGTCTGTGGTTTCTCGAGCGTAGTTTCTGTCAGCTTATCCTGTTCTTTTGAGTGAGCATGTTTTCCTGTTTCCTTGTATTCCTTGTTATTGTGTTGTTGAAAATTGAGCATTTCCCTATTGTAATGTGATAACTCTGGAAATCTTTAACTCCTTCTTTTCTAGAATTTGCTGTCTTATTTTACTTTTGAAGGCTGTAATACTCCTTTTGTTTTGAGACATTTCCATACTATTTTTGTGAAGACTATTCCATATCGTGTGATTATTGAAGTCTTTGTTCTATTAGCTCATGTTCAGCTAATGTTTGACAGAGATTTCCTTGAATTCCAGGAGCTGAAAACAAACACCCTCCACTCCCCCCAAAAGGTGGGGGGGGGGAGAGAGAGAGAGAGAGAAAGAGCGAGAGAGAGAGAGAGAGAGAACAACCCACCTCTCCCAGTCTTTTCAGATTGGGTCTGTGCTGGGACATTCTTTTCCCATTTAACCAGGCTTGCTCTGAGCCTAGGGATCAGCCATAGGTGAAAGCTTACAGTCTTCTCAGGATGTTTCTGAGTGTGTATCTTTCCTAGGCATACTGTGACTTTCTAAATTCCCCCCCCCCCCCACAGCTGCCTTTGAACGTCCTAATTTCCCAAAGCGTCAAAAACAATTCTATTTTAAGACTAAATAATACTTTTCAATCCTTTTATGTATGTAACAGACGTTTATTCTTCTCTTGCTAACCTGAAGTCTTCTTTGCATTAAATTTGACATGTCAGAGTTGATCAACAATGATGAAAGAGTGAGATTAACACTGTAAATGGAATGTTCCAGGGGAAGATAGAATGAATCATAGTTCAGGTTCTCATTATTATCCACAGATGATATAGTTTTCTAAAGATTCTTTCTGCCCAGTCACCCTCTCCTGTCTTAGTCCCTAATCCAAGCTTCATTCTACTTGGGAAAGAGTATCCTTCTTCAAAAAAGAAAATTGGAAAGACTAAGTAAATTGTATCTTTTTTTTCCCTCTCTGAATAATTTACAGTAGCTACTTAATACCTATAGGATAAAGACCAATGTCTCAAGTCATCCACAATTTGCGTCAAACTAATGTTCGAACTAGTTTCACACTCTTCTCCTGTCTTTTGTTTTTTGTTTCTTGTTTCTTTTTGAGACAGAGTCTTGCTCTGTCGCCCAGGCAGGAGTGCAGTGGTGCCATCTCAGCTCACCACAACCTCAGCCTCCCGGGTGCAAGCGATTCTCCTGCCTCAGCACCCCAAGTAGCTGGGACTACAGGTGTGCGCCACCATGCCCGGCTGATTTTTGTATTTTTAGTAGAGACGGGGTTTCACTATGTTGGCCAGGCTGGTCTCAAACTCCTGACCTCGTAATCCACCCGCCTCGGCCTCCCAAAGTGCTGGGATTACAGGCATGAGCCACTGTACTCGGCCTCACTCTTCTCCCGTCACTCTTACAAATCTTATCTGTAGGCATGCAGACCACTCACCAGTTGCTGCTTCATAAATTTATAATCCACTTTCATTTCTCTTTGAAGAACTGGCTTTGGTTTATGCAGTCCTCCCTCCCCAAAATGTTCCCTTCTTACCCTCTACCTATTGAAATGTTTCCAGTCTTCAGGGTATAGTTGAAATGCGCCCTCTCATTCTGCTTTCCCGAATAGCATGTTTTCTCTCTTCCCTTTTCTGCATTAGAATTCCTTTCTCTTTTATGCCTCCCCCTAGCACTGTGTTTATGACTATTGGAGACTCATCTTTTTTCCTTGTTTATGAAAAAGGTCAATTTCTGCATTTGTGTGCTCTACCTCACAAGTGTTTTTCACTTTTTCCAAGGGTTTCATTCTGGGACTTTTCTTTCTCTTGTATCTTTTCCCTATCAATGGTTTATTCTTTTTATTTTATTTATTTTTTTGAGACGGGATCTAGCTCTGTCACCCAGGGTGGAGTGCAGTGGCGCAATCTCAGCTCACTGCAACCTGTACCTCCTGGGTTCAAGCAATTCGCCTGCCTCAGCCACCCAAGTAGCTGAGACTACAGTCATGTGCTACCACACCTGGTTAATTTTTGTATTTTTGGTAGAGATGGGGTTTCGCCATGCTGCTCAAGCTAGTCTCAAACTCCTGGCCTCAAGTGATCCACCATCTTCAGCCTCCCAAACTGCTGGGATTACATGTGTGAACCACTGCACCCGGCCAATAGTTTATTCTTAGCAGAATATATTCTTTAATAGCTCCCATAAAGCAAACAAACCCAAAATATATTCTCCTGACCCTACATTCACTTCCAACTATCACCCTACATCTACATTCTCCTTTTCATACCAAACTTTTTCCAAGCAGTTGTCTATATTTATGTCTCCACTTCTTTACCTCCTATTCTTGCTTCAGTATGCTTCAGTTGAGCTTCGTCCCCCTGTAGTCCACCCCAACTGCTCTTTTTTTTTTTTTTTTTTTTTTTTTGAGACGGAGTCTCGTTCTGTCGCCCAGGCGGGAGTGCTGTGGCGCGATCTCCGCTCACTGCAAGCTCCGCCTTCCGGGTTCACGCCATTCTCCTGCCTCAGCCTCCCGAGTAGCTGGGACTACAGGCGCCCGCCACTGCGCCCGGCTAATTTTTTTTTGTATTTTTAGTAGAGACGGGGTTTCACCGTGGTCTCGATCTCCTGACCTCGTGATCCGCCCGCCTCGGCCTCCCAAAGTGCTGGGATTACAGGCGTGAGCCACCGCGCCCGGCCCCAACTGCTCTTTTTAAGGTCATTAATGACTTCCAGCCATCAGTCCTCATTGCTCTAAACCTAGTAGCAGCTTTGTATAACATGTACATTGGTTGATTATACCCTCCTCCTTTATATTTTCTAAGACACAATTTAACATAACATTCAGTAAAGTACACAAAACAAAAATTTACAGCTCAAAGATTTATCTGTAAATGAACACCTATGTGATTATCACCACTTTATGCTTCCTCCTAGTTACTGCCCCTTCATGCCATTAAAGCTAATCATGATCCTGAATTTTCTGAAAATACTCAAGTATGCATCATTAAACACTTTTGAGTTCTGTTTTTTCAATGTTATATAAGTGGAATTGTATAGTATGTATTCTTTGTATCTGGTTTCTGTTGTCCACCATTATATTTGTTAGATTCATCCATGTTGTTACATTGGCCGAAGTTTGTTCATTTTCTTTGGTGGGTCTGCTATATGAACATATGACTTTATCCATCTGCTGTCAAGGAACGTTTGTGTTGTTTCCAGTTTGCAGCTATTGTGAGCAGTGCTGCTATGAACATTCTTTCATCTGTTGGTGTGTATGACACAAATTTACGTTGCATATGTATGTTGGAGTGGAATTCTTGCTCTCAGGATATGTCTGTGTTCAACTTGAGTAGGTAATGACAACCTTCCAAGGGGTTTTATCAGTTTACACTCCTACCCATACAAGGGGTTTTATCAGTTTACACTCCTACCAGTAGTACATGAGTGATACCTTTGCTCCATATCCTTACTAATCATATAGTATTGTCAATTTTTCTGGTGAACTTATAGTGCTATCTTGTGATTTTCATTTGCATTTCCCTAACTACTAGTGTGATTGAGTATTGTTTCATACATTTATTGTCCATTTGATGCCTCTTCTGTGAGCCGCCTATTCAGATATCCTTCTTATTATTTTTATTAAGGTATGTATCTGACATATTTATTTGGGGAGTTCTTTATATATTCTGAATGCAAGCCCTTTGTCAGTATACATATTATAAATATATATTCCCACTCTGTGGCTTCGCTTGTAACTCTCTTGATAGTTTGCTTGCTTGCTTTGATGGCTAGAACTTCAGTTTGTTTTCCTTAATTATGTAGTTGTTTTTTATGTCCTTTTAAAAAAGTTTTTTTCCAACTACAATCATGAAGCTAATTCTTCTACATAGTCTTCTAGAAATTATAGTTTCACTTTTTTTTTTTTTTTTTTAAGACGGAGTCTCACTCTGTCACCCAGGCTGGAGTGCAGTGGTGCGATCTCAGCTCACTGCAACCTCCACCTCCCTGGTTCAGGCAATTCCTCAGTCTCAACCTCCCAAGTAGCTGGGATTACGGGCGCATGCCACCATGCCCAGCTAATTTTTTTGTATTTTTAGTAGAGACGGAGTTTCACCATGTCGGCCAGACTAGTCTCGAACTCCTGACCTCAGGCAATCCGCCCGCTTTGGCCTCCCAAAGTGCCGGGATTACAGGCATGAGCCACCGCACCCTGCCTTTTTTTTTTTTTTTTTTTTTTTTGAGACAGAGTTTCGCTTTTTTTGCCCAGGCTAGAGTGCAATGGCACAATCTCAGCTCACTGCAGCCTCCGCCTCCCGGGTTCAAGCGATTCTCCCACCACGGCCAGCTAACTTTGTATTTTTAGTAGAGACGGGGTTTCACCACGTTGGCCAGGCTGGTCTTGAACTCCTGACCTCAAGTGATCCACCTGCCTCGGCCTCCCAAAATGCTGGGATTACAGATGCAAGCTACCATGCCTGGCCTATGGTTTTACTTTTTGCATTTAGATCTACAACCTACCTGGAATTTATTTTTGTATATGGGGTCATAGTTTGTTCTTTTCCTATGTGTTTATACATCCAAGCACCATTTCTTGGAAAGGTAGTCCTTTGCCTTTATGATAGTACCTTTCTCCTAAATAAGTTGTCCATATATATTTGGGTCTATTACTGGACTGTGTTTTAGTTAATTGTGCTAATACTATACTGTCTTGATTGTTATAGCCTGAAATCTGGCAGACCAAGTCTTCCAACATTGTTCTTTATCCTTTGGCCTTTAGCATTTCCAAATACAGTTCAGAATTGTGAAGTTCCAAAAGTCATTTGGGATTTTGATTGAGATGGCTTTAAATTATAAATTATAGGTCATTTGAGAATCAACATTTTATGATATTATCTAATCCTTGTAAACTGCATATCAGTCCACTTATTTGAGTCATCTTTAATTTTTGTCAATAACCTTTCATAGTCTTCTGAGTGAAGGTTTCATACATCTTTCATTAGAATTATTCCTGACTTTTTATTTTTTATGCTATCATAAATGACACATATCTTCCAAATTTTTATTTTCTAACTCCTAATTGCTAGTGTAGAGAAAAACACATGAGTTTTGTATTTTGATTCAATGTCACTTTCTTTTGATTAGTGTTAGCATGGTATATCTTTTCCCTCCTTTTACTTTTAACTTTTAACCTATTTGTATCTTTTTTGAAGTGGGTTTTTATAGAAAGCATATAGTTGGGTTTTGCTTTTTTATCCAATCTGACAATATTTGCTTTTTTTTCTCCCTCCCCACACAAAGGCAGGGTTTCGCTTTTGTTGCCCAGGCTGGAGTGCAATGGCATGATCTTGGCTCACTGCAACCTCTGCCTCCCAGGTTCCAGCTATTCTCCTGTCTCAGCCTCCCAATTAGCTGGGATTACAGGCACATGCCACCACACTCGACTAATTTTTGTATTTTTAGTAGAGACGGGGTTTCATCATATTGGTCAGGCTGGTCTCGAATTCCTAACCTCAGGTGATCCGCCTGCCTCGGCCTCCCACAGTGCTGGGATTACAGGCATGAGCCACCGTGCCTGGCCATATTTGCTTTTTAATTTGGGTATCTAGACCACTGACATTTATTGTGATTATTTATACAACTCAGTTTAAATACACCATCTTGCTATTTGGCTTCTTCTTTACCTATCTCTTATTTGTTCCCCTTTACCTCTTTTTCTGTCTTCTTTGAATTAATTTTTTTTTTTTTTTGAGACGGAGTCTCACTCTGTTGCCCAGGCTGGAGTGCAATGGAATGGTCTTGACTCACTACAACCTCCGCCTCCCAGGTTCAAGCAATTCTCCTATCTTAGCCTCCTGAGTAGCTGGTAATATAGGCGCATGCCACCACACCCAGCTAATTTTTGTTTTTGTAGTAGAGACGGGGTTTCACTATGTTTGCCAGGCTGGTCTTGAACTCCTGACCTCGTGATCCGCCCGCCTTGGCCTGCCAAAGTGCTGGGATTACAGGCGTGAGCCACTGTGCCTGGCCATGAATTAATTATTTTTATGATTCCCTTTTGCTTTTTTTTGTTGGTCTGAAAAAAATCTTTAGTACCAGTATTCACTTGATTGCTCACTTCAGAAACCCAGGATTATTTTTAGTGTATTTTTCTCCCCTATATCTATTCTGTCATAAAATTCTCAGTTTTTCTCTTAAATATTTCTATACTAAATCCTTTCTTTTTAGTTCCTACTGCTTGATTGCTTTTGTTCATGTGCTTATCTCTTACCTATGTATTTGTAATTACTGGTTTCCCTTTCTTCACACTTCAATTATGATTTAAGACTCAATTCTGATAAAAAGCTTTCAGTGGCCCTCCAGTGTTTCTTCTAGAGGGAAAGTGCAGGAGACATGTGTACCAAATAAAAGTCTTGATATTTTTATTCTTCTTGTGGCCCACCTTTACCTATTTTGCCCATCTCCAATCACCTCTCCACCTCACATTTTACATTCCTGTGATACTGATCTACTTACTTTCCAAACATGGTTTGGACAACCTCTGTGCCTTCTGCTCTACTGGAAATTATCCTTCAAATCTTAACATTTCCTCTGTGAGGCCTTCTTTACTTATCTTTGGCTGAATTAGGAGTTCCTGCCTCTCTAAATTTTTCAGTTTCCATATACTTCACTAGAGCAATTTATGAACAGTTGGCCCTTGAATAAGATAGGTTTGTATTGTGTGGGTTCACTTATATGTGTATTTTTCTGAAGAAATGTACCAGAATTTTTTTTGAGATTTGTGGCAATTTAAAAAAACTTGCAGATGAACCATGTAGCTTAGAAATATGAAAAAATTAAGAAAGAGGTATGTCATAAATGAATAAAATATATGTAGGTAATAGTCTATTTTATCATCTACTACCATAAAATATACACAAATCTGTTATAAAAAGTTAAAATTTTTCAAAACTTATGTACACTATCACAGACTGTACACGGAGTCATTCTCAGGAGGAATGCAAAAAAACATAAAGATGCAGTATTAAATTATAACAGCATAAAGTAAAATGTAGTACATACTGTACTACTATAAGAATTTCATAACCACCTCCTATTGCTATTGTGGTGAGTTCAAGTGTTTTGAGTGTCTGCTTAAAACATCATGTGACACCAGTTAATCTCTGCATAAACAGTTTGTCTTTCCAGTAAATTGCATATCACAGTAAAAAGTGATCTCTTGGTGGTTCTCGTGTACTTTTCATCATGTTTGGTGCAATACTGTAAACCTTGAATAACACCATGAGGCCCATGCAAAGTGCCACTAGTGATGCTGGAAGTGCTCCCATGAAGCAAATTCATGACATTACAGGAAAAAGTTACATTGCTTGATATGTTCCATAGATTGAAGTCTGCATCCCCATTTCAAGTCTGTTGCCCCATTTCAAGATAAATTAATCCAATATAAGGACCATTGTACAAAAAGAAAAGGAAATTTGTAGAGCCATCACTGCAGCCGTGCCAACACGCACAAAAACTTTGTACTTTTGCACAATGCCTTTTTATCTGTCATGGAAAATGCAGATTTTATATGGGTACAGGATTTCTATAAGAAAAGCATACCTGTAGACTCTAATATAATTTGAGGAAAAAAAAAGTCATTTTATGACAACTTAAAACAAAAGGAAAGTAAAGGATATAAAGCTGGAGATTTTAATGCCAGCAAAGGATGGTTTGATAATTTTAGGAAGAGATTTGGTCTTAACAATGTCAAGATAACAAGAGAAGCAGCTTCTGTTGACCAAGAGGCAGCAGACAAGTTCCAAGATGCAATTATGAAAATTATTTAGGAGAGGCTGGGTGTGGTGGCTCACACTTGTAATTCCAGCACTTTGGGAGGCTGAGGTGGGCGGATCACCTGAGGTCAGGAGTTCAAGACCAGCTTGGCCAACATGGAGAAACCCTGTCCCTACTAAAAATACAAAAATTAGCTGGGCATGATGTCACGTGCCTGTAATCCCAGCTACTCGGGAGGCTGAGGCATGAGAATCACTTGAACCCAGGAGGTGGAGGTTGCAGTGAGCCAAGATTGCACCAGTGCATTCGAGCTTGGGTGACAGAGTGAGAATCTGTCTCAAAACAAAACAAAACAAAAAAAAGGACGAAAATTATTTAGGAGAAATGATATCTGCCTGAATAGGTTTTTAATGCAGATGTAAGTGCTCTACTCTGGGGGAAAAAATGTCACAAAGGACATTTATTAGTAAGGAAGAGAAGTGAGCACCAGGATTTGATGCCGGAAGGGATAGGCTAACTCTACTGTTTCGTGCAAATGTACTCAGGTTTATGATCAGGACTGCCCTTATCTATAAAGCTCCTAACTCACGAGACTTGAAGGGAAAAGATAAACACCAACTGCTAGTCTTTTGGTTGTGCCACAAGAAGGCCTGGACAATGAGAAACCTTTTTCTACACTGATTTCATTGATACTTTGTCCCTGAAGTTAGGAAGTACCTTGCCAGTAAGAGACTGCCTTTTAAAGTTTTTTGATATTGTACAATGGCTCTGGCCACGCAGAACCCCATGAGTTCAACACTAAAGGCATCAAAGTGGTCTCCTTGCCTGCAAACACAATGTCTCTAATTCAGCCTCAAGATCTAGGCAGTCATAAGGACCTTTAAGGCTTATTACATATGGGTACTCTATGGAAAGCATTTTCAACACAATGGAAGAGAACCCCAGTAGCAAGAACATCATGAAAGTGTGAGAGGATTACAGCATTGAAAATGCCATTATTGTTGTAGAAAAAGCCATGAAAGTCATCAAACCCATAACAATGAATTCCTGCTGGAGAAAACTTTGTCCAAATGTGGTGCATGACTTTATAAGATTTACAACAGTCAATCAAGGAAATCATGAAAGAGATTGTGGATGTGGTGGAAAAGGTTGGGAGTGAAGGGTTTCAAGATAGAGATCTTGGAGAAATTCGAGAGCTAATAGACACCACACAAAGGACTTAACAGAAGATGAGTTGATGGAGATGAGTGCTCCTGAACCAGTGCCAGAAAATGAGGAAGAAGACATAGAAGAATCAGTGCCAGGAAACAAATTGACATGAGATAATCTGGCAGAAGGGTTCTGATTATTCAAGACTGCTTTTGACTTCTTTTATGACGTGGACCCTTCTATAATATAGGCACTGAAACTAAAGCAAATGGAAGAAGGATAGATATCATATAGAAACATTTTTGGAGAAATTAAAGAGCATAACAAAGTGAGACAGAAATTACCACGTGTTTCCATAAAGTTAACTAAGTTTGCCTGCCTCTCCTGCCTTCCCTCCTAACTCCTGCATCTCTTCTGCCTCTGCCATCCCTGAGAAGACAAGACCAACCCCTCCTTTTCCTCCTCCAACTCAGCCTACTCAATGTGAAGATGGTAGGGTGAAGGCCTTTATGAGGACCCGCTTCCATTTAATGAGTAGAAAATACTATTTTCTTTTCCTTATGATTTTCCTAATAACATTATCTTTTCTCTAGATTGCTTTCTTGTAATAATATAGTATGTAATACATATAGCATACAAAATATGTGTTAATTGTTTATATTATTGTTAAGTCTTCTAGTCAATAGTAGGCTATTAGTAATTAAGTTTTGGGGGAGTCAAAAGTTATACATGGGGCCAGGCGCAGTGGCTCACACCTGTAACCCCAGCACTTTGGGAAGCTGAGGCGGGCAGATCACTTGAGTCCAGGGGTTCGAGACCAGCCTAGCCAACATGATGAAACCCCATCTCTACTAAAAATACAAAAATTAGCCGGGCGTGGTGGCACATGCCTGTAATCCCAGCTACTTGGGTGGCTGAGGCACAAGAATAGCTTGAATCCAGCATGTGGAGGTTGCAGTGAGCTGAGATTGCGCCACTGCACTCCAGCCTTGGTGATAGAGTGAGACTCTGTCTCAAAAAAAAAAAAGTTATACATGGATTTCCAACTGTACAGGGGTCAATGACCCTAACCTCCATGTTATTTAAGGGTCAACTGTAATTGAAATTCTTCATTTTTCTATTCCTTTCTGGGATATTTCGTAAGTTCCTTGCAGTTCAAGCCACCTTCATCTTAGATACACAATAAATATTTGTTGAATGAAAGAATAACTGGATACCAACAGAGGCTTGTAGGAGTTAGTCTATCATCATGTGATATAAAACTTTACTTTTGATCATTCATCTAGCACATATTTATTATATGTCAAATATTCAACAGCCACAATGAAGGATTCTAATAAGATTTGATCTTTGCCCTCATGGACCTTATGGGTTATAACTGTTTTTCCCCAGAGTCACACTTTTAGGGATAAGACCTGATATATGCAATTTTGAAAGACAAAGAAAATCAATTTTATGACTCAGCGGTTCTTTGCAGGCATTCACACAATAAAAATAGAAAAATTCAAGTGGACTAGGGAAAATATTTTCTAAGAAGACATGTTTCCCCCACGTTGGGTAAAAAGAAAAAAATTGAGTTTAATATTAAAAATTAAAGTTTACTTATAAAATACAGGACATAGAGAAAAATGTACTTCTATTTTTCTTTTCTATAGGAGAAGCTAAAACTTACTTATGAGGAAAAGTGTGAAATTGAGGAATCCCAATTGAAGTTTTTGAGGTAAAGTGAAATCGTCCATTTATAGTCATACCAAAAGCATAATGATCTTAAAATATATTTGAATGTTTGCTGAACTTCTAGTTTTAGTCATTATCAGACTTACTTGATGACATTTTAATACACTTTAAAAAATTTCCTCAGATTATTAAAGGATGAAAGGCCTAAAATTGAGTTCTTTTCCAAATCACGTTCCCATTTCTTCATCAGTTGTAAAATATTTGTGTTTTCTTGTAGAAATAAGAATCACGGCCGGGCGCGGTGGCTCACGCCTGTAATCCCAGCACTTTGGGAGGCTGAAGCGGGCGAATCACGAGGTCAAGAGATTGAGACCATCCTGGCCAACATGGTGAAACCCCGTTTCTACTAAAAATACAAAAATTAGCTGGGCCTGGTAGCACGTGCCTGTAGTCCCAGCTACTTGGGAGGCTGAGGCAGGAGAATCACTTGAACCTGGGAGGCGGAGGTTGCAGTAAGCTGAGACCACGCCACTGCACTCCAACCTGGCAACAGAGTGAGACTCCATTTCAAAAAAGAAAAAAAAAAAAAAGAAATAAGA